>NC_000004.12:49486924-49658100 GCF_000001405.40 Homo sapiens
GAATTCTTACGGGCATTTGGGGAATATATTTTCTGTTGAGTCCTATACTAGTAAGATTTTCAACACAAGGTGACTCTCGACCTCGCCTTGTAGGAAGAGTGCTGAGAAAATATTTCACCTGCTCTTTCTCCATAAAGAGCTGATACTGATCATTGCTATTTTCTTATTCGATCTGTAAAGATAGCAAAGACAAATGCTTAATATTTCATTTTTCCTTAAATGATTCTTAATGACTTGCAGTTTTTAAAAACTTACCCTGAGAGTAAACCAAATTACCCACTAAATAGTGTTTTCACACCGAAGATGTGTAAGAGCATACCTGTTGTAAGGAATTATAATTTTAAAATCGTTCTAAAGAAGCACCATTGTTTCTAAGGTGATTTCTACTGAACAAGCAGTTCAAACAAAGTAGACAGGGAAGAGAAATGGCTATCAGTGACGTATGGCTCAACAGGTAAAACTTCCTGCCTTCTAAAATGGCTCTACTTGTAAGATTCTGAAGATTCCATTAGAAATACTTGTATTTAAAGGGTAATAATGTGGGAAAATGAATATGTTGATTTGCTTGATTATAAGAACCACTTCACTAGAAATAATTATATCAAAACATCATGTTGTACTCCTTAATGTAGGTTAAGAAAACTAAAATGAATGAAAAAAAATCTAGGAATACTTGTGTTTAGTAAACCAGTTTTGGATTTCACTCTTGTACATTTCACCCATTATCTAGGACCAATTAAACATTTGGCACTGAGGAATAATTCAGAGCAACAACTCCTAGGGGAGAACTAGATTGTCTGGTTGGTGATCAAAAAGAACTAAAGCATCTCTGAAGGCTATTAGCCCCCAACACTGTGACCAAGGCCCTGGAGGTGGGGCATGTTCTTTCTGCCTTCCACACACCGCTTCAGGCTGAACAAGGTGTTATTTTTTAACAGCTTTGTGAATTACAGTTCTTTAAATTCCTGTGATAATTATTCCCTATTTCACAAGGGTGCCTTTCTGTAACATCTTGAATATGTTACACAAATAGTCTTTCTTGAGGCACCCTCTGGTGATAATACTAAAGATCACAATCAAAAACAATTGTGCCCAGAGTAGCAGTACCACTTTGCATTTAGGTTGTGATCCACTGAAAAGTAAATTAAACACATTAATATTTCTATTTAGGGAAATTCTGACAAGTAATTTTATAACAAGATCACTTCATTAATTATAAAGCTTCAAAAATACTTAGTGAAAAAAACTAACAGATCAGGTTAATTACATGAGACTTTTCAGGAAAAAAAGCCATACAAAAGCAAAAAAAAAAATGAGAGGAGAGACAAAAACTATCTTTGACTAACATTTTAAAGGTAAAATTATTTACTAACATTATTTTTCAAAATTACATTGTCAAATTAGCATTCACTTCCTTCTAATCTCCTGAAGCCATCTCACTAAAAATTATGCTTTTGAAACAAATTAATGAGCTTAATTCATTTTCTATGAGTGTATGTTTTGACTTACTTAGTTAATTTTTTTGACATGGAACTGTTAGCTTTCAATGCTGCTGCAAAGGCTTCCTTATATTCTTCTAACTCAGTTGTAACGTCTTCATAAGCAGTTTTCATTTTGTAGAATTTACGTTCCACATCTTTAAGTGTGAGTTCCTTCTTATTTAGTGAAGCTGTATTATATCCTTGTTTAACTGCTCTAATTGTTTTTTATATTGTGCTTGTTCCTAAAACAGAGGAAAATAATACACTTTTAAAACAATTATAACCTAATTATTATGTTAGTTGCCTTTCATTTTGAGTCAGTGATTCAAAGAGTATTTTTGAATATGTTAAAAAAGAGGATGAAGTTTAAAATATTTCAGCAATATCAAAAGTAATAACTGAATTCAGAATTAAGTCTGACTTGTAAAAATTTGAAATCATAATTATGCTAGTATTAATGTAATCTGGTCATATAAAAAGTAATAGAATCCATTCATAGTTTTAAAAAGTGATCAATGAACACTGTAGCTTAAGACCAATTCATAATTATCACATAATTTCTAAATCACAATTTTTTCCTGTGCCAACTGGTCTTAATCATCAAATGACTCCATAATGAGAATCATTACTCTGAAAGATTGATTTTGTTATAATAATAATGGAAATTTAAATATTTAAAAGAAAAAACAGATACCATTTTTTTCTAGAACTCTACAAAGCAGATTGCTACAAGAGAGGCAGAGGAAACACTATATATATATGTGTATATATATATATATATATATATATATCTCCAAAATATAATTTGCAGTGAAATAAATGAAAGCACATTACAAGTAAACTTACCTGATTTAAACAACTCACCTGTAAATGGATTTCTTCTAATTTTTCTACTGCCAGCATTGCCCTTTCATCTAGCTCTGATTTATATTCTTGTAGTTTACTAAGTTCTACCATACTGTTTTCCATATGTGTCTTAAGATTTAATATTTCTTCTTCCAACATATTTTTATCCTCCTCAAGTTTTTCACATTCCTGTTGTACTTTTTTCATAGATAATAACTCCTGTTGAAAAACTTGATTCTCTTTAGGCAAATTGACACATTTTGAAGATACTGCTTCCTTCTCCGCCATAAGATCATCAAATTGCATGAATAAAATAGTATAGCTTGATAATGAAGTAGGCTGAGAATAATCTAATACAAAACCAATAGCAAATTTTGAAATGCGTTTACTTGCAATAAAATGTTATCTGTAATGCAGCAGATTCTTCAAATGTGAACCCTTAAATTACTCAGAATTTTAAGAACAAAGTTAAAGCTACCATGAGTCATAAAAATATATTCTTTACTATCATCATCTTTGCCACAGAATTTTTGTACTTCATTTTACTTTTATTTTTCTGATAATTCATTTTTGTTCCTCCTTAAATGGCACAAAGTTATCTCCTAGTAAAAAGTGTCTAACCCCCTTCCTTCATTATCATTCCCCACAGTATGTCAAAAAAAGTTTCAGAGATATCATATTGAGTTATTTAGGCCAAAGTCAATAAATGGGTCTAGGAATAAGACTTTGAAAGTGATATTACACTCTATATTAGGCATGGTGGCTCATTCCTGTAATCCTAGCACTTTAAAAAGCTGTGGCAGAAAGATCACTTGAGGCCAGGAATTTGAGATCAGCCAGAGCAACATAGTGAGACCCCCATCTCTACAAAAAAAAAATGTTTTTTAATTACCCGGGCATGGTGGCTCATGCCTGTAGACCCAGCTAGTTGGGATACTGAGGCAAAAGGATGGCTTGTACCCAGAGTTCAGGGCTGCAGTGAATTATTATCACTGCACTTCTGCCTGGATGACAGACAAAGACCCTATCTCAAAAAAAAACACAAAATAATGAAATCTATGATTAAGGATTCTGATGCTATAAGCCTTTCCTTAAACTGCAAATGTTTCATGCTAATTTGAATTGCATTTTAAGAAGTAATGATTCTTGGGGTAAAGACCATAGAATACGGCACCCAGAAATAAATCCACATATTTCCAGCCAACTGATTTTGGACGAACATGCCAAGAACATACGCTGGGGAAAGGACAGCCTCTTCAAATGAATGACACTGGGAAAACTAAATATCCATATGGAGAAGAACGATATTAGCTTCCTATGTAACACCATATAACAACATAAACTCAGAATCGATTGAAGACTGAAATGTAAGGCCCAAAATTATCAAACTACTCTAAGTAAATATAGGGAAAATGCTTGAGGACATTAGTCTGCACAAAGATTTTTATGGGTAAGACATCAGAAGCATAGGCAAACAACAAATCATAGACAAAAGACACTACATTAAGCTAAAGAGCTTCTGTCCAGCAAACAACTGAGTGAAGAGAAAACCTGTAGAATAGGAGAAAATATTGTCAAGCTATTCATCTAATAAGGGACTAATATACAAAATATACAAAAAAACTCAAACAACTTCACAGTAAAAAAAAATCTGAGTTTAAAATTGGGCAAAATATCTAACTATACTTTTTTTTAGAAAAAGAAATACAAATAGCCAATAAATAAATTTTAAAATGCTCAGTATCACTAATCCTCAGGGAAATACAAATCAAATCTACAATGTGATATAATCTTGCTTCAATTTGAATAAATTGCTGTCATTGAAAAGACAAAAAAAAAAACAAATGCTGGTGAGGCTCCAGAGAACAGTAAACTCTTACATGCTGTTGGTGGGAAGGTAAATTAGTGCAGCCACAATAGAGAACAACAGGAGGTTTTCTCAAAAAAACTAATAATGGGACTGCCGAGGGATCCAGCAACCTCACTACCGGGCATTCAGGCAATAGAAAAGAAAACAATAGATCAAAAGGATATCTGTCCTCATATGTTTACTGTAGCACTATCCACAACAGCTTGTGTATGGAATCAACCTACATGTCCATCACCAAATGAATGGACGAAAAACTGTGGCACACAAACACAGTGGAATACTATTCACCGTATAAAGGAATTAAATCCTGTTATTCGTGGCCACGTGGATCAGTCTGACGGATGTTATGTTAAGTGCAGACACAGAAAGATAAATACTGCACATTCTTACTCATGTAAGGGAGCTAAAGGAAAATTGAAGGCTGGGCAATATTGCTGATGCCTGTAATTTCCTAGCTCTTTGTAAGACCAAGGCAAGAGAATCATTTGAGACCAAAAGTTCCAGAGCTCCCTGGGCAACATGGGGAGATATCTCCACAAAGTCAAAAATCAGACATGTGCAATGGTGCATGCCCATAATGACAGCTGCTCAGGAGGCTGAGGTGTGAGGATCAGATGGGCCCAAGAGTTTGAAGCTGCAGTGAACTATGATCAAACCACTGTCTCCAGTCTGGGTGACTACAGTTGCCCAGAGCCCAGACTACACTAGCAAGACCTTGTCTCTTAACAAAAAAAAGCTCACAGAAGTAGGGGAGGGGAGGCTGGTTAATGGATACAGAATTACAGTTAGATAAGTGGAGTGAGTTCTGGTGTTCTGTGGCATTGTAGGGTGAATATGGTTAACTATGACTTATTGTATATTTTTAAAAAGCCAGAAAATTTTCAATGTTCACAATTCAAAGAAATGAAAAATGGTTGAAGTAGTAAATGTGCTAGTTAGCTTGATCATTACACACTATATACGTGTATAAAAATATCACTCTATAGCCCATAATTATGTATATATGTGTCAATTAAAACAAAAGAGAAGCTACATTCATCCCATTTAAAAAAAACAGAATATAGGCCAGCCTTACTGACTTCCTTCTAATGAGTAGAATGTAGTGAAAGGGATACCATGTGGCTTCCCTATCTCAGACTGTTTTCCCTTGGAACCCAGCCCCAATTGTGAGAGCCATCAGGCCACAAAGATAGCCTGAAAGTGCCTGTGTCAGTGTTCACGCTGCCTGTCCCAACCAAGTTTACAGCCGATGGCCAGCATCAACCATCAAACAAGTGGGTGACCAAAGCTTCAGAGGATTCCATTTCCCCAACTGATCAGCTGTTCCTAGGGAAGCTGAAGGGAGCAAAGACAAGCTGTCCTGGCCAAGTTTTTCCCAAACCACAGGTTCATGAACAAAATAAATGTTTTTCTTTCAAGCCACAAGACTCTGGGTAATTGTTAGGAAAATAAGTTTTAAAAAGAGACAACAGGAAACATAACTTATGCAGCAGAAAAGAGTCTCCTTTAAAGCAGGATCTAATAAATGTTGATATTTATTTATTGATGTCAAACATTATTGAGAAGCAGTAGATAACCAGGAGAGAGACATAAGCTGCTGAGGAGGAATTTTCCTAAAACTCCTTCAATTATGAACTCTGAAAACAAGGCAAGGGTGTCTTCTTACAATTTCCCCTCAAGTTAGGAAGTAAGACTGGGAAGCAAGAAGATGTATGATTTGAAAAACAACTAGAAATACTGGGTGACATAGGCAAAATCAGACATTTACCTGATTTCAATTAACTAAAATTCTAAAAGAAGAAGTTTTGAGTATTTATTAATCAACCTAGTATTCAATTTTCATTTTCTTTTCTAAATGAGGAAATAAGGAGAATATTATGGAATGATTTTTATTCTTCACAGAAGTAAAATAAGCATAGTGTGTTTTGAGTGTTAAGACACAAATGCAATTTCTCCTTTACCTTACTCCAAGCTTGTTTGTATGGAGAAGTTAAGACCATCCCATCTCTATGTTATGCCACAATGCTTCTCTATAGCACACAACTTGGCTCTGAAATTTTGAAAGTCAAAATACTAATCTACTATGTGTCTCTGATAAATTGCCTGAACGTTACCTGATTTTGAAGTGCTGCACTCCTAAGACTTTCTTGGAATGAGTTAAACCTTTTATTCCAAGAATCCTCTACTGAGATAGAAAGCAGAGCTGTGCATCTCTGTTTCAGTAAAAGGAGGTCAATACAGGGAACTGTGGTTTCTGAGAATGCAAGATCTGCACTAAGAAAAGGATTAGCCACAGTGCTACCCAAGAGAACCAGCTACCAGGAGGAAAGAGGGTCTGTAAACTGCAAGATGATGACTTCACTTGATTTCCACTGAGGAAAGCTGGTGGCTCAGACTTAAACTTCTCCTTCCTAGATGGTAAACATCTATGGAAGGTTCTATGAATTATAATGAGTTAGTAAAACATACTGCACTGAATATTAGACTATGTCAGCAGATCCTGTAACCAAAACTTACTGAAAATGTAACTATAGTGGGAGGCAATGGAAAAGAGACTAAAGGCTTGAATGGAGAAAAAAAGAAATTAAGTGTGTCTTGTAAGCCTGGCGTCTGATCATGTCTTAGAGGAAGTAAGGTATAAGCTGGCCAGAGACTCCTTTGTGACAAAAAAGGTGAAGTTACAGACATTCCACTAAATTTAATTTTTATTATGACATAAGACAACTGGTAATATGCAACATGATTGAAAAAAACTTCCCATTCAATTCGATTGGGCCTTGACATAAGAATAGACATAAACAAGCTAAGAATTGACAATCTAAAAATAAGCCTGCACTTTTACAGTCAATTGATTTTATACAAGCTTAACAAAAGAACAAAATGGGAAAAGAATAGTCTTTTCAACAAATGGTGCTGGGACAACTGGGTATCCATAAGCAAAAAATAAATAAAGTTCGACCAAATATCTTATTTAATAATTAACTCAAAATAAAATAGTTAACTGTAAAAGCTAAAACTATAAATCCCTCAGAAGAAAACACTGGCATAAATCTTTGTGACTGCATTTGCCAGTGTTTTCTTAGCTATGACTCCAAAGGAAAAATGGATTCAATGGACTTCAAAATTGAAAACTGCTGTGCCTCAGAAGACAGTATGAAGAAGTGAAAAGGTAAGACGCCAAGTAGAAGAAAGTATTTGAAAAGCGTGTATCTGATAAGGGACTTACATATATAGGAAATATAAATAACTATTGCAATTAATAAATAACAAGATAAGCCAATTTTAAAAAATGGGCAAAGATTTTGAATAGATATATCTGCAAAGAAGATATAAAGATGGATAAGCACATTAATAGATGCTTAATGTAATTAGTCATTAGGAAAATGTAAATCAAAACCACATGTGGTATCACTTCACACCACAGGATAAAATCTTTGTTCAAGAAAAAAGAGTGTTAGGAAAAATGTAAAGAAATTAAAACCCTTATCTGATGCTGCTGGGAATGTAAAGTGATGCAGCCACTTTGGAAAACAAACTGGCAGCTCCTTAAAGGGTTAAGCATGAAGTTACCATATGACACAGAAATTCCAGTCATAAGTATATACTCCAGAAAAATAAAAACATAGGCAAGCACAAAAACTCATACATAAATGTTTACAACAGCATTATTAATAGTAGTTAAAAGGTGGAAAGAACCAGAACGTCTGTCACCTTTGGGTGGGAGAGAACCCAAATGTCCATCACCTGGCGAATGGATAAATAAAATGTTTGATGTATCCATACAATGGAATATTACTCAGCAATAAGAAGAAATTAAGTACAGATACCGTATTAGGAGGAGACAGCAAAATGCCTAGGCAGATACGGAAGGGTCCCCGGAGAATCTCCAACCAGCCCCACAAGTGTTTACACCAGATGTTATGTGCAGATAAGGGAACCTGGACTTGTCTTGCCTGGACATGCCCGCAGCAGACCGGAGGCCCACATGCAGTGGGGGGATGGGGTGGAGTCACCAGGAATTCACGCCTTATGCAGAGGAGGAGCCTGGCCACTTCAGCTCATGTGATCCTGGTATTCAATTGTGAGGTGGAAACCTCTTTGCAGGATCCCTCTCTTTGCTGAGAGCTGTCCTTTCACAAATAAATTCTGCCCTCCTCAATGTGTCTGCATGCTTGATTTTTCCTGGTCATGAGAGAAGAACCCAGATGTAGCTGAACTAAGGAGCAAAAACCCGGCATCAATACCTGCTACAGCACAGATGCAGCATGAAAAATTATGCTAAGTGAAATAAGCCAGTCCCAGCAGACCACTTGCTTTTTATTTCAGAGGCTTATAGGCAAATCTATACAAAGAAGGTGGGTGGTTCCCTACGGCTGAGGGAGGAAGGGAAAACTAGTGAAGATGGCTAAATGTTGTGGGGTTTGTTTTTAGGGTGATGAAAATGTTTTACAATTAATTGTAATGATGACGGCATAACTCTCTGAAAATACTAAAGTTAATGAATTGTATACTTTAAATGAGTGAATTGCATGGCGTGTTCATTATTTCTCAATAAACCTGTTATCCCCACCCCAAATTAATTTGGTACTAGAGATCTGGAGATAGGTACTGCTTGGTTTAAAATCCCTGGCCGGGGTTCAAGGTCTAAGAGAATCAACAACATGTCCTTTTTATAGAAAAAGAGATTTATATTTTACAAGCTATCCTTTTCATTAGTATCAAGTCTGTAAAATTAAATGAAAAATCTTTCTTTCACTGCTTAAAACACTGACAGATTTATATAGAGGAATAAGACCTTGTTTCCTTTGGCCCCAATTTCTATCTAAAGGGTCTGGGAAACACACCCTTCAAACTATCAAATCTCATCAGATGGGTTTTATTAACACTTATAATGTGGCTTCCTTTCTAATCTGATTCTGGTGCAGCATCACAGAGAGAAGAAGCTGAAGGAAATCAAAATATTTTACCCCCAAATATATTTTTTGACTTATTTTGAAATGGCTGCTGCAGGGCCAAGAGATTGAAATGGCCCTCATTAAGGTAGCCCAATCTCTCCCCTTCTAGGTCTTCCCAGATCTGGGGAAGATTAACTAAGAGCCTGAGGCATTTAAAGTTTGAAAAGATATATTTACCCTCTATTTTCTCAACATATTTTGGCAGAATTTGGATTTTTCCATTATCAATATTTTCCAAAATGCATGATTTTTAATACCAAAACTGATTTAAAATTACCATACGTTGGAATATAAATTATTCTATTATAAAGATACATGCATTTACATGTTCACTGCAGCACTCTTCACAATAGTAAAGACATGGAATCAACCCAGATGGACATTATCAGTGATAATGGGATAAAGAAAATGTGGTATATATACACCATGGAATACTATGGAGCCATAAAAATGAATGAGATCATGCTCTTTGCAGGGATATGGATGAACCTGAAGCTGATATATTCAGCAAACTAATGCAGGAAGAAAAAACCAAACACTGCATCTTCTCACTTATAAGCGGGAGCTGAACGATAAGAACACATAGACTCGGGGAGGGGAACAACAAACACTGGGGCCTGTTGGGGTCAGGAGGGAGAGCATCAAGATCAATAACTAATGCCCACAGGGCTTAATATCTAGGTGATGGATTGATAGGTGCAGCAAACCATCATGGAACACGTTTACTTATATAAGAAACTTGTTGGCCAGACTGGTCTTGAACTCCTGACCTCATGATCTTCCTGCCTTGGCCTCCCAAAGTGCTGGGATTACAGGTGTGGCCACCATGCCTGGTGGCTATTTCTCTTTTTAAATTCTCTCAG
Source organism: Homo sapiens (assembly GCF_000001405.40). Taxonomy (NCBI): domain Eukaryota; kingdom Metazoa; phylum Chordata; class Mammalia; order Primates; family Hominidae; genus Homo; species Homo sapiens. Next base: position 49,496,940 of record NC_000004.12, read on the forward strand.
GACTCCTAAAATCTCAAAACTTTGACCTAGATTCCCTAATCTACATTTCCAGCTCTGACCATTTTCTTGAGGTCTCTTCCTTCTAGTACATATATTATAGAAAATATTCTCGACCACATGCTCATACATTGCTAATTGGTGCAGATTACTTTTGTAGATAGTGAATGTTGTCTATTTTATGTTGGTTCTCATTAATGTTACTTTGAGTATACTGTTATTTTCTAATCTCAAAGGGGGACTATCTCACTGTTATGATACTAACCAGTATACTTTGTCCTTTTTTTCTTGCTTTCTTCTTTTTTGGACCAGTATACTTTGTCCCTTTTTTGTTTTTCTTTTTTTCTTTTTTTTTGAGATGGAGTCACACTGTGTCATCCAGGCTGGAGTGCAGTGGCACCATCTCGGCTTACTGCAAATACCACCTCCTGGGTTCAAGTGATTCTCCTGTCTCGGCCTCCCAAGTAGCTGGGACTACAGGTGCACACCACCACACCTGGCTAATTTTTGTATTTTCAGTAGAGACAGGGTTTCACCATGTTGGCCAGGCTGTTTTTGAACTGCTGACCTCAGGTAATCTACGCACCTCAGCCTCCCAAAGTGTTGGGATTACAGACGTGAGCCACGGCACCCAGCCCTCTTTTTCTTTTATGATGAAAACTTTCCCATGAGAATCATATTATCAATTGTTTGACTTTGTTTTCTTTTAAAGAAATTCCTTTTCCATAGAGATATGGCATGATGAAAGTCTTGTTCTAAAGTTTCTTTTGGGGGACACTTAACTATGTCATTGGGAAGCTTCAGTAAGTAGAAATCTCCCTTCTTCTCACTCAAGATTCTTCATCTCAAAATGGTGTCCACCAAATGTCTTAATCCAGGTAGTGGTTTGTTTAGAAATTCATGAAATAAGAACCTTCTCGAGAAGTTGGAGGCTATTGATTGAGATGGTTTAACGCTGCCCCTTATTATATGTTTTACTCCCAAGGTAGACATCAAAGTGGCTAATAATTCTATGACTGATGTCTAACTCATTTCTATGGGAATCTATACAAAACGTTTTATTTATGAGACAGAGTCTCCCTCTGTTACCCAGCCTGGAGTGCAGTGGCTTGATCACTGTTCACTACAGCCTCAATATTCCAAGCTCAAACGACCCTCCTACCACAGCCTCCCAATGTAGCTGGGACTACAGGCGTGCACCACCATGCCTCAGATAAGTGTTTAATTTTTTTTTTTTTGAGACAGGGTCTCACTATATTGCTCTGGCTGGTCTCAAACTCATGGGCTCAAACGATCCTCCTGCTTCAGCCTTCCAAAACCAGGTGTTTAACTGGGGACTAACATGAAACACTTAGAAGACTACGTGGAACATAGTGAGCTACATAAAATATTTGCTATTAACATAATAATTTTATTGCATATCTTAACAAAATTGTGTATTTTAGGCAGGTGGCATGCCAATGGAAGTACTCTCCTATAGCTGCACTGAATCATTCTTACCACTGAGAGTTGCAGCAAATGGGGGACATAATTTATAACTTACTTTTCTCTCTGTATGACTCATTAGGCAATGACTATGTATGTACTACAATGTAAACATCACCTCCTGGATTGAATAGTACATAACTGACATGACCAGCAGAGACAGGCTAAAGACACTGAGCTGAAAACCCTGGACTCTATTGCTAAATCAAGGCTCCTGAATCCGTTCCCTCTGAGCAACTGTTGCTGTGGTGCTGCCTTCACAAGCACTCTGCTGAGCACTCAGATTGAGGTGCTGTGCTATCCGTCATCAGACAAGCTGCACCCAGAACTGTTCAGCTGGCAAACTGGTAGCAGTCCAGAAATACAGTTCTGCTGCATAGTGAAAAAAGGCCAATTTAGATTCTTTTTCATAGAGAGAAAAACATAAATATGTGATTTAACAAGTCTCCTGTATTAAACTAATTGGTTTAGATTTGATATATAATTGCTAAAAACACACTTAGAATATAAACCTTACTGTGTCAAGGTCTCAAAGAAGAAATAATTGGTATGGTATAAAGTATTGAATTGTATGCTACAAACTTCTAAGCTAAAATATTTTCAATGTATGCAAGGATAGGTGGCATACATATTATATATTATTCCCCCATTAAGCAAATTTATAATGAGAGAAAATTATCTTCCATAAAAAAAAGCCATGTAAAATTAAGAACTAAGTTTTTCTGCGCAGACTAGACAGTGATTGCTAACACATAAGGTCAATGAGAGAACAGTCAGAGAAAGCTTCATGAAAACAATAAATTGTCTGCCACATCTGAGTGAATGAGGCCAGATGAACAGAAACTGAAAAGGTAGAAAGAATAGCATGAGCAAGACAAGTGCTGAAATCTGCCCAATTAACTCTGAGGATAAAGTCCAATGGCAGATAAATAAAAACCTGTGTCCACATAATAACTTGTAAGTGAATGTTCACAGCAGCATTTTTCATAAGAGCTAAAAAGTGGAAACTAACCTAAAGGTCCATCAACTGATGAATGAATGGAAAACCAGTATAGCCATGGAATAGAATATCATTTAACTATAAGAAGAAATAAACTACCAATGTGTGCTAAAATATTACGCTAAGTGAATTCTGAAAACATTATGCTAAGTGAAAAAGCCAGTCACAGAGGACTACGTATTGTATAACTCTATGTATATGAAATAAGCAGAACAGGCAAACATATGGAGACAAAAGTAGATAGATGGTGGTTGCCTACAACAGAGGTAGGTGGAGGGACATGGAGGAAGGCTGCAGTCATGCCTAGGAGATGTGGGGTTGCTTTTCAGGGTGATGAAAATGCTGTGAATATACTAATAGATACTCAGTTGTACATTTTAAATGGTTGAACTCTCTCAAATGTGAATGATATCTCAGTGAAACTGTTTTTAAAATCCAAAGGCAGGATCAAGATAATTTTCTCAACTCTCAATTTTTGATGTACATGTTATCTCAAATTTAAATATTTCCACAGTTTTATAGTATATTTTAAATAAAAGATAAATAAAGAAAATGCCTAACTTTTCAAATAGTTTGTAAATTAACCTAAAACATGCACTTTTAAAAGAATAGTATAATGGCCTTTCTGTACAAGTTAACCTAGAATCTGTGAAATAAATAGACACAGATTCTGTGTCCACTCACAAAAGTGAAGAAATAAGACAATTTTCTGGAACATTCCATGAAACATTCTTCTCTGATTTAATCTGGCCTGCCTCATCAGAGCAATACAAAAATTACTTAAAAATACTGTTTTAACAGGACAAAAGTCAGTTTTCTATGAGGAATGATGTATAATTCTCAACTTTTCCAAGGGTACATATTGTAAGAGAAAAGGTATGCAATGGTTTTTCAAAATGGTAGAATGAAAGTAACTTTATAAAAATAAGTACATTATAGAGATAGTAAAATGGAAATAATTCATTGTAATGAAAATAAAAAATCAAGCTTCTGCCATAATTAGTATCCTAAAACATGTTATGTAATTCAACTAGCTACAGAATAACAGTTGACATGCTAAGTTCCATACATACTTGACTTTCCACTTGAAATAATTTCTTCTTTGGGACCTGTGTCTCATCCAAATTAATGTGATAATGTGATATACTTCCAGTGGAGACTCTAACATAGTTAATTTTTTTAGGCTGTCAGCCGCTTCTTGTTGAAGTTGTCTCACAACCACCTGAGAAAATATTTTTGTTACTGATTTTATAAATTGCCTTATTATTAAATTATGTTAATAATATTTAACTCTAACATACCTACTTTGAAAATTATCACCACACATATAAATTCACCTTCTTTTAATCACATGTACACATTTTTATTTATTACTGAATTCAGTGAGGGATGCACAATATGTTCTCTTCCTGCCAAGTTGGTATTCTCTTACTTACATAACAGATTCATCCCACCATTCAATCATCTTAGAAGCTCAACTCAACCTCAAACTTCCTGACATATTCAATCACCTGTTCAAATCCTTCCAACAGATTCCTATCTCAGAATAAAAGTAAAATTTCAATGGCCTTTGAGGTCCTAGGTAAACAGGTCTCTACATCCCTCTCTGACTTCAAAGCTCCTACAACTCCCTCCTGCAATTACTCCATTCCCACTGTACGTGAAGCCTGCCACCCCTCAGTCTGAAAATAGGGATCTAATGCCTTACTCATAAATCACAGGCAGTTACAAGTATCTTTGTACTGAACAAAATTATATTCCAATGATAGTCATTGAGCCTTGAAATAAAAATTAGGAGCTAATTATTAATATAAATATTCAAAGTAAACTATGAATACCAGTGGGAAGACTAAACCAAATATAATTTTGCTAAATATTACCACATGTATCCTAAATTATGATTTTATAACAAGTAGGTGCCTTTAAAACATTACATAGTCATAAAAATATGTAATTTGACATATTTTCAGATTTGTTAAATTAATATGATTAATAACAAAGATATACCAACTAAAATACATAAAAAGCTACTTAAAGCAAGGTATTACAAGACAAAGCAATACACTTCAGTTCATCTGGGAAATCTAGAATTAAGTGTCAAAGAAAATCAATTAAATTTTAATTTGAAAATACTCATTTCAGGTGTAAACATTTCCATTTATACTTACATTATGGTCTTAACATGTGGCAACATAAAGTCATTAAAATTATTATTTCAGCAGTACAGAACTATCTACCTTAAAATACGACTCTGTGCCTAATAAAATTTCATAGGTGACACAATGTCTTTTCTCAAAGTAAATCATCTCTCACCTCTACCTTTGATTTCCTAGAAATGAGACACGTTTCTAAGCTGGTATAGTAAACACGGTTTTCCTTTTTTTTATTAAAACAGCTTTGTTGAAATATAATTTACATACTATAGAATGTATCTGTTTTAACTTAAGGTTAAAAGATTTTTTAGTCCATTTACTGAGTTGTGCAGCCATCTCTACAATCCAACTTTACAGCATTTCCATCACTGCAAGATCCCTCACGCCCATTAGCAGTCACTACCAGCTTTCAGACCCAGCCCTTTGCAAACATTAGTCTACTTTTTGTCCCTATACGTTTATCTTTTCTGGATGCTTCATGTAAATGGAATTATACAGTATGGTAAACACACTTTTTATCCATTGATTTTTATATTCAACTAAGTTCAACATGTATCCAGAACCAAATGTTTAAATTTTCTTTCTAAAAGTTTGAAAATATTTATCTTCCTTGATACTTACTACTCTTTCTGCTTTCTCTCTCTCATATTGAAAGAGACTTTCTTTTAAATGATCACATTCATTCATTAGCTTCTTATTTTTCTCTTCTAGCATGAGGTCTTTCTTTTCACTCTCAATAAAGCCTCTTTGGATATTAGTTACTATCTCTTTATGATCCTCTTTCTGATGAACATCATCTAGTTGCTGTTCAATGCACGGATTTTCATGTTGGAGTTGACATATCCTCTCTTCTACACAGCTCCACTTTCCAGTGGAATTATTCACTTTAGCTTCTGCATTTTCATACATCTCTTTCATTTCCTTTATTTGCTGCTGTGTTTGGCTTAGGTCGCTTGGAGAGTTTCTAAAGCCAATGACTTTTTTCTGAGAGTATCTCTTTTCTTACGGAACTTATCGTTTAAGGTATTGAATTTAATTTCCGTTTTAGAAAGTTGTTCAGTAAGAAACTCATTCTTATCTTCTACTTCGGAAATATCAGAACTCATTTTTACTTGTACGGAAACATCTTGTGTTCACTCTAATGCAAGTTTTAGGTTTCTTTCTGTTTTCACACTTTCACTGTGTTTACTTATAGCAGCAGTCAGTCTAGACTGATGATTCAATTTCAGCTTCCAGTCTTTTGTTGCTTTCTTCTTCCTTCAACAGTTCGGAATTGAGCCTTGTATTCTCAGCTTTGAGATCATTAAGCTCTTGTTGATACCGGAATGCTGTTTTTGTTATCAATTCCTCATTGAGTTTTATATACTTTTCAAGGACAGCATTTGTTTTTTTAACAATTTTAACGTCTTAAGATATTTATTTTCTTTTTCCAGGTTGTCATTTTTCATTGTGCATATTTCCTGTCTGAGTATAGCAATATCTGTCTTCAAAATGCAATTTTCATCCATCAGATCTTTCATTTCTTCGTGATTATGAAAATCCTAAATAAAACAAAAGAAAGTTTTAGCTAGTACTCAATAAAATAACATATCATGATTACCTCTGAAGTTAAAGAATAACCTGCACATCCATATACTAAAAAGCTTACTGTAAGTGGATATCCAACTGGAGAAATAGTTGAAGCAAGACTTTGAACCTTATAGAGCATAAGTTCCAAAAAGTTCAGAAATTTATTTAAAGTCAATGAATTTATAAAAGTAAACACACACACACACACGCACACCAGAGAATTTTTAAGAATTTCAGAATTGGAAAAGCCTTTCCCTGAATTATAACAAACTCAAAAGCATAAATTAAGGCATTAACAAATTTGACTAAATTAAAATATATCAAAAAATTGCATTTACACTTTGATATCTAACCCATACACCACCCTATAGTAAGAAACTTACTTCACACGTATTTGGACAGATAAAATTTCCCAGAGTTACTACAGTTCTGTTTCACTGATAACATTCTATTTCAATTTGACTCTTTTAACACTTTTATAGTCAGTTGTAAGAATTACATTTACTAAATCATAAATCTAGACATTATACTAGTCACTCCTATATACATTCATTGATGAACTCATCTAGTTACCACAATTTTGAAAAAGAGATGTTAAAAATATAAGCAAGCTATAGGATTTTCCCCAGGACTTCTGACTCTACTTCTAGTTCTCTGACAGATCACAGTTACTTCTGTGGTGTAAATGTATCAATACGAAAGAATACTTTTATTTCAAAACACCAATGGTAAATAAGATAAAATTTATAGAGCTCTTCTTAGAATATAATGAGATTACTTGTGATTGCAATAATTTGTTTCCTCTTTATAGTATTAGGTACAGTAATCAATATGAAATAGTGGGAAGTACAAGGAACAACTTTACTGGGAAAAAATCTTTATCAATAGGTTATCACTAAGTATATATTATGGCATATTATTGTTTTCAAAAGCTCTTTGTAATAAAATAATATCCTATGTGGATGCCATGATTTATAATAAATATTAATAATTGTACCTGTAAGTGTCATCATTCATTTTTTGAAAATGAGATAACATTTCTGGTTTGTTTTAGACCAAAATATTATATATTAAATCAAGAGGATATTATAAGTAACATTGATAAAATAAAGTTTAAAATATAGAATTTTTACCAAAGATTGATTTATCTGATTTGGAGTATTTCTTGTAGTCTTCAGTTTCATCTCTAGTGATTGAACAGTTGGTTCAAGTTGTTTTGCTTCAACTTCTTTCTTATATTGTTTCTCTTTCCTTTCTAATTCTTCTCTATTTTTTTGTACAGCATATTAACATTTGTTTTTTCTTCACTTTCTTGTCTTAAGATGCATCTGCAGATAAAGACATTTATCTTAAAATTCATTTTGTTAAAAAACAAAGAGATCATCCTGTGATCTACCTCTGCAGATGCTCCTTATCATCCTAATAAAATTTCTATGTGCTGGATTATTTTTCCTTTGTAGTTCTCAGATATTTAATTTCTCACTTCAACATCTTCAAACGAATGTATATACTTGAAAAGTAGTAAGGAAAGAATATTCTGCTAAAGTTTTTGTTACTAGTCACTCTAGTATGTATTATAAAAAAGGATACTGGAAATAATTCAGTATAGTTAGAAGTTCAAAATTACCTTTTCAAATCACACAGTCATAATTACTCCCCGATTAGAAAAGATCATTTACAATCAACTAAATTTTTAAAGTTACGATTTATTGACAAGTGTATAAGTTCACTAGAAATAAATTTTCATCTCTATGAAATATTGTATGTGTCTCTCCAAATGATTTACAGAGTAAGATGTCTCTCACACAAACTATATCTGCAGATGATTGTCATCTAAAACTAGGCTAAAGAGTCTAACATCTGTTACCCCACACTTTTTATAATTCTTTCTTAATACTTCCAATTCACCTTCTTATTACATATATTTTATATATTTATTAAGCTATTGTTCATTATGTGTAATATATAATTAATGCCCTTAATAAGTGTGTGTATGTTTACACAAGTTATGTTTTCCTGTGAAATCTAGTCCCAGAAGTGGAGTTGTTGAGTTAAAGGGATGTCAGGTTATTTGAAATTTTGATACACAGCACTAAGTTACCCTTCAGAAATAATTTACCAATTTCATATACCAACAGTGTATGAGAATGCCTTTTTCCTCACATTTTCAATGGTAGTAATTACTTTTTCAATATCAGCATGACTTTACAAAATATATCTTATTTTATGTTAATTTGCATTTTTCTGATTACCAGGCAGGGCTAAATATCCCTGGTAAAACTATAAAACTTGTTAATCATAAGGAACATTAGTCCAATTTTGAATTAGTTTATAGCACAATGACAATTATCCGCTGATAAATACTGCTATAGGTGGCCAGGCACGGTGGCTCACTCCTGTAAACCCAGCACTTTGGGAGGCTGAGGTGGGCAGAACACCTGAGGTCAGGAGTTCGAGACAAGCCTGGATAACATGGTGAAACCTCATTTCTACTAAAAATACAAAAAAATTAGCTGGGCATGGTGGCATATGTCTGTAATCTCAGCTACTAGGGAGGCTGAGTCAGGAGAATCACTTGAACCCAGTATGCATAGGTTGCAGTGAGGTGAGAACACACCATTGCACTCCAGCTTGGGCAACAAGAGAGAAACTCCATCTCAGAAAAAAACAAAACAAAACAAAAAAACAAAAACACACTGCTATAGGCTTACTTACCTATCATGCTCTTCCTTCAGTTTCTTGGGAAATTGCTGAGGATACGTTTTCCCAACCTTTCTTTGTTTGGTTAATCTGTCAGCAGCAGCAGAAGATGTACTATGACATACATTTTCTGATAGTTGTATTTTTTCACTTTTGTTTGTATTATTTCCTTCTTTGACCTTTAATAAAAGTAATATGAATAATAATTATTATTTTATTCTATAAAACCTTTTTCCCTGATTTTTTCACTTGATTCAGGTTAACTATCACCATTTTAATGATAAAACTATTTTGTGCTTACTTTATCATTATACATAATAATTATAAGATACTTATCATTTTATCATTGAAATTTTTGTCAAGTCTGCTCATTTCTGTTTGAGTGAATGGAATAATTTTCCAAAATTTCAAAAAAGACTCTTCTCCATTTTGTGCTTTTATTCGCATCCACTCTTTGCTATCTGATATAAATGTTTATGCTATCTGACTGGCAGAAACAGAGAAATAAAAAGACACAGGCATAACATATATCTTCTGTCTTTGCCACCTGGATTTTACATGAAATAGCCAGATTAAGAGGAAGTGACCTTGTAGGCCTTCAGGAAGAGTAAAGAAGTTTTCCCTTTTCTGCACTGAGCTATTCTTTTCCCCACTGCCTTTTATCTCTCTCTTTTTTTTTTTTGGATCCTGGGATATCAAAAAAGTGAAAGTTCTCCCTGAACTATGGGAACCAATGTTTGCCACAACACAAGAAGCAGAGTGAAACTGCTGAGTTTCTAGTGCAGAATTCTGGAAAACGAGATGCTTCCCAGATTTCACATTCAATTACCACAAACGTTTATAGGTGGAAAACATACGGTACAGTTATCTACTTTAGCCCCATTATCTACTGAAAATGGGAGTCAAACCAACCAAGACATATGAAATGTTTCATCCAGAGCTCTTGAGGTGGCATTCCCTAGCATTTCACGGCACCAAATAACATGATACAATTCCATATTGCTGAATTACATAAATTACCAGATAAATTTATCAAATTAGTCAGATATATTAAAAGTCTAACTTGAGCAAAGCAATTTAACACCTCAGAGGGTGGGAAAAGGCCTCATCTGCTTTTACTTTGAAAGAAGAAAATCTCTAGATTTTTGTCTATCTTTAGAACACAATGTACAGAACTCAACTTTCTACTAAAGAGTCAAAGGCTAAATTTTTAGCTAAGAAATTATGCTTCTTTCTTACATGATAAAAATCATACATGCCAAAACTTACCATACTTTATTAAACAACATAATGTAAGGTCTGATTCAACAGAAATATTGGAGTGGTGATTTTTTAAAATATGTGGATGTATATATTTGTTTTCAAAATATTGGAAATAACCATGATGGAACTATAAATTCAAACAGTTTGAGCTAAGCAGATAAACTGGCGTGCATGAAAACACATTAAACAGACTCATTTGGCTGGGAATATTCATTGCAACTCTCAAGGCTAGACGTGTTTTTGTGGCTCATCTCAGTCATTGCTTCCCTCTCATTGTATTCCCATTCTATCATCAAATAAATGTAATTCATCTCTAGATGAATACAGAAAAAAGAATCTAGAATCTAAAGCTTATTTCTTTAGCAATTTCTTTATGTTGATCTGGTTCAGAAGGTCACATGGTATATGGCTGAATTAGTTTCCCAGCTCATATGCCACTTGGAAGACTGAGAGTGAGACTTAGGTTGATTAATGAAGAAACATTATGAGAACATTCTCCAGAACCTTTGTTTAGATAGCAGAACTAATCTACTTTGACACATAATTACACATTTAGAAAACCCCGCTGTAACTGTACACATGAGATTTTCTTGAATAGAAAATTTGACTAAATCAAATAATTGATAAAGAGAAAAAAGAAGCAGCAAGTGAACCTCTGTCTTTTTGAAGTTGGACTTTCTCTTTCTCCAAAGCCAGGAACTCTACTTGTAACATGCCTACCTCATTCTTTTTACTATTATTATACTTTAAGTTCTGGTACATGTGCACAATGTGCAAGTTTGTTACATATGTATACATGTGCTATGTTAGTGACCTTGGAATATCTTGCTGTAAGTCTTCTAGCTATATTTTTGATGTTCTCTCACTATGTGGCAAAGAATAACCCGCATTTTATAATTCAAGATTGATGGTTTTGTAGTTATTAACACTGGGATTGTCATACAGCGGCTTCTGGAATAAGCACTATGTTGGTTTTCTGTTTTTATAAGTATCTGTAGCAGCAGAAATACTGTGACTTTCTATCTGAATCATATGCTTCATTTCTTTGGGGTGGGTAAACAACAAATCAAAAAGACTTTCTGGATCTCTAGACTGAGACCAATGCCTAATGTCTAATTTCCAATTAGTAGTATTTGGGTTTATATATTTTTCCATTTGCATGTCAAACTCTTAATCATCTTTCATTTCAATCATAATTACTGGGTTCCTTACATTTTCAGTTTCTATATCATAACAAAAATTTCCATCATCTGTGTTAGAAACAAGCTGTGTGTCTTGTTTGTTATCATTTTTATAGTCTGATTTATTTTAATTTAAATGAAGCTTAGAAGATGACTGGTAAGTGTATTTCAGGGACCTAGAGTGTGAATCGAATAAAAAGACATTTGACATGGGCTTCCTCTGTTCAGGCGCTGCCTGGACTGCCACAGAGCTAGACCCTCCAGATACATTTTTCTCCTCACAATCAGGGACATGATTCATCAGACTAGAGGGCACTCCTTTTTTGTTCATCCCTCTTTAGAGTTACCATGTAGGAGCTCTTCCTCAGGGCAAGCAGTGATTTTGGAGTTTTCAGAACTTTTACCAATATTCAGCTTGAACTTGTTTGTAATGAATATTAAAGAAAGTCATGAATATATAGATTGATTCCCTTTATCACTGTTCTTACCCAGTTCTGGTTCTTGAGACTTTTTTTTTGGGGGGGGGGGGGCAGGTGCAAAATGGAAAACAAATTTGCTTGTTTTGTTTCTCAGATGTCTTTTCTGTCAGAGTGCATGTTTTAAAATTAGCTTTAATCAAGTATAAACAAAGTAATATTAGAAAATAGTTAAAATTTAACTGTGAAACTTAATCTATGTGTTGCTACTCTTAAATTATGGGATTGTGACTAAAAAGTGAAAAATAATTTGCCTTGGCTTAACATAGGACAGAAACATGAACCAGCAAGCTGAACTCTCAGTGTCTGTTTGGACTAAACTTAATGCATTTGTGTAAAATCTACCAGAAATGAATTCAAAGATGATAGGTAGTATTATAAAAGCTCCCTCTCTTACAAAGACTTTACCTCAGCATACCAGAAAGAGTAAGCCCCTACAGTGCATGTTTATTTCTGAAGATTAACTAGAGCACTAGGCAAACACTAAATTATTAAGAGCTAAACTGAACACCAATAAGAAAGAGAATCAAAATTTTAAATTCTAATTCAAATGATATACTATGATAGTGTTATGTATCTAGATAGAATTTCTGCTTATATCCACTTTTAATATATTTTAAGTTCCGGTAGTGATAGGGTTTGGATTTTTTAAATTTTAGTAATGTTTACTATGTATTTATGTTGAAATAAAGTTATTGTTCACACCCTGACACCAAAGGTCCCATTCTGCAAGGTAGGATTCTCTTAATAGGCAACTGCATTGACTTTTATGACCCCATTCACTCCCTGAACACAGACACAGAAGTCAACTGGTGACCACAAAACAGAATAAATCTTTAACCTCGGCACTGGTGACCAGCAATATAAAACTGCAACATTTGAAGCACTGGCAATGATGACTCCTTTAACACTAGTTTAACTCAGTGGCCATTGTTGTTAAACTGTTCATAATTTCTATTCCTCAGTAATATGACCCAATACTTCATGTTACCTTGTGTATTATGAGTAAGGTTATATAAATAAAACAGCAAGATAATTCTGAAAATTTCTTGCCTCAATTCCAAGGGTAAAGACAGCTATGAGTTACTAGAGATACTAAGAATTACTAGAATAACTAATAGTTACTCGAGATAGTAAGAATATCTTAAGTTTCATAACTGGTTATGATGTTTTAAAAATTACATATAAAATTATGATCTATTGGATTCTAAAGGTATAGTCTGAAAGGTCATGTCATTTGGACTATGCTTTGTTAGTAAAGCAAAAAAAAAAACCTAATATTAAACAAGAACTTAAATTTTCATATACCTGTGATTGCTTCTTTTCACTTTTCCCCCATTAAAAGTCATGAATTGAGTGGCTTTTAGTATACCTGTGGTTGTGCACATTCAATTTTAATTCGCAATCCATTGTAGAACGTCTTATCACCCCCGACCAGAGAAAAACCCTGTAGACATTAGTCACTCCTCATTCTGTCTCAAACCCTCTCCCTGACCCTCAGCCCTAGGTAGCAACTACCTAGTGCGATCAACCCCATATGCATAGATTTCCATATTGTGGACATTTCCTATAAACGGAATTGCACAATAGGTGAGCTGTTATGACTGACATAACACGTAGCACAATATTTTCAAGATTCATCCACACTGTAGGCTTACCCACAGGGGGAAACCATATTTTTTGGGGGTTTTAGTAACACCGGGTGTTTCCTCCTTCCGTTCGTCCTTCTTTGCTTCCTTCCTTCCTTCCTTCTTTCCTTCCTTCCTTCCTTCCTACCTTCCTTCTTTCCTTCCTTCCTTCCTTCCTCCTATTTCTCTCTTACTCCTTCTGCCCTCTCTCTTTCATATGCCTTAGGTGCATCCCACATTCTGCGTTTTTTTGGGGAAATCCTCGACAGGTGCAGGAAACTTGTGTTATTGTAACTATGTACCGCTATCTCTCTTTCACGGCTCTCCATCAGTTGTGAACATCTATTGGTTTATCCCAAGTCACTAAGCACATTTTTATTAGGTACACCTGTTTTTCCTTATACAGCTGTTTCTGGAGTATAGGGTCGCATACTCATAAACCCAGTGTAACTCAGAAACGCATCTAATATTCCAGTAAACCCATCATAACGTTGAAAAATCATGAATCAAACCATCATAAGTCTCGGCTTGTCCGTGGATATGGGTGTCATCAATTCCAGTGTATACAGTAATGCTGTACACCATTAACAATGGCAGACTGATTGGGAGTGCCTACTGATAGCATTATAAAAGTCAGTTATTAGAGGGATACTTCTTTAACCTGACTGAAGAACTGATCTAATGGCTTTAGTACAGTGCATGATTATGTGAGATGTTTTGAGACAGAGTAGTACATTTGTGAATGAAATTTTATGGCTTTTTTCACTTAGTAGGAACCATTGTGTGTGGAAAAGTGAGAAAATTGCTTTCTGCTGTAGAGTCTGGCATTCATTGTAGATTTAAGCTTATTTTTCTGTGAGCAAATCTTATTCAATAAAATACTACTCTTTATACTAAAAAACAAATCAGTGGTGATGTGTGGTCATTATCCTCAGCAAACTAATCCAGGGAAAGAAAACCAAACGCCACATTCTCACTTATAATGGGAGCTGAAAAATGAGATCACATGGACACAGGAAGGGGAACAACACACACTGGGGCCTTTCGGGAGGCAGAGCGTTAAGAAAAACAGCTCCTGCATGCTGGGCTTAATACCTAGGTGATGGGTTGACAGGTGCAGCAAACCACCATGGCACACGTTTACCTTAGTAACAAATCTGCCCATCCTGCACGTATACCCCAGCACTTAGAAACGAAACGAAACAAAAGAAAACGAAAAAGCAATAGCAAAACGCTAAAGGCAAAATAAAGTTTCCAACTCCGAAAGTGACAGACCAATGTTTGGTTCAAATCATGGTTCTCAACCCAGGTGCCATAAGGTCAGGATAAAGAATTTGATTACATATTGTAAATAGGACATGCGGCAAATGACCAGAAAGATTATTCTCAACATATGTGTGTCTTCTAATTCAATGGTGACGCTATCTACCGGGACATAGCATTAGATTCCAAAGGGCCGAGTCCCGCCAGACAGGCCTCCCACACTAATAACAATGGGAAGCCCTACTTTGTTTCACCTGTGCTTCTCAGCAACTTGCTATAAATCAGGTTGCCACCACTCCCAGATTTAGTTGCATTCATTTGCTGGAAGAGCTCACAGCACTCAGGGAAACACTCACATTTGCCGTTGTATTTTAGCGGACATTGCAAAAAGCTCAGAAATAAATGTGGGGCCCGGCATGTGGGGAGGGGCGCACTACCTTCCAGGAAGTGTTATCCAGAAGCTCCCTGAACCCAGTCCTTTTGGGTTTTTATGGAGACCTCATTCTATAGGCATGATGGGTTAAACCATAGGCTATTGGTGATCAACTCCACCTGAGGCTGTCAACCCTCCCTGGAAATTGGGATTGAGGCTTTGCCATTCTCAGTCTGACTAAAACAATTTACCCAAACGGAATTTTAAAACACATGAGCACAACTGGAATCTTAATTAGATGATTGGATTATCTGGAACCACACCTTGATATTCCGAACCCGAGCACCCTCATCCAACGAATGCTCCACCCAACTGGCTCCCAAGACTCCACGTGGTTCCGGAGCAAAAGAATGTTTATACAACGCATATCTCCACCCTTTCTTCAAAGTCTTTTCGCTTACACGGAAAGACTTCTTAAACTGCCATGCATCAGGGTCAGGGGGAGGTCTTGTTACAACACAGATCTGTGGATCTCCGGGGTTTGATTGTGGCAAGGATGCTGCTGGTGTCAAAACCACAACGTGGGAACCACAGAACCACTAGTTGGTTTTCAGTGTTTCAGTGCATACAATTCCTAATATATCTGGCCAAGAAAACTTGGAAGTTGTTAGATTGTCCAAAAGGTGGCGCATGAAATCAAAGCAGGAGAACAGTTTCCTACGAGGTGTAGCCTGGGAAAGTTGGGGGTGACTGACGGAAAGGAGGGGTGAAGCTCCGCCCTTTCCGCTGCTAGGCTGCGCCCGAGGGTATTTAAACCCACCCTGGCTGGCCTGTACTCAGATCTTCGCGGAGCGGATCAGCGGCCGGAGCGTTTGGCGGACTCTGCGTGGACTTGGAGCTCACGGCGTCTTGCGACTTGGAAGCGGATTCAGAGGACAGGACAGAACACTTGGGCAAGTGAATCTCTGTCTGTCTGTCTGTCTGTCTGTCTGTCTGTCTGTGTGTCTGTCTCATTGGTTGGTTGATTTCCATTTTCTTAAGGGGCACATACCTCACACCGCACACACACAGACACACACACGCACACACACGCACACACTCACACCCACGCACACACACTCCTTCCTTCTGCGAGTTAGAAAATTAGTAGGGGCCCCTGGGAGCTGCAGGTTTCCTAATCATGTCTGCACCTAAGAACAGTAGGGTCTTGTCTGGCTCTTCTTATGAACGGTCCCCCAGCCCGGACTCCCCAAGGTCCATGCGAGCCTCACCCAGCTTCTCCCTCTCCCCTCTCAGAAGCTCAGGCTTAAGGGGAAGCTCCTCACCAGGGATCCGGAGCTGCCATTCACCATCCCCTAGGGCTTCACCACACTCACCTCTGTCATCACCAGAATCCCACAAGCTCGCATTTCCCTGTCCTCACCGTGATGGGCAATCAATGAAGCCATCGGGCTCTCCCGTGTCCTCCTCTGAGGATTCCTCAGAGTCCCCACGTTCATCAATAATATACCACATGTTCTTACTGCCATCACCCAGCAGCTCACCCCCAGCTCTCGGGGGGTCTCCTGTGTCTCCCAGCTACTCTCCAAACAACCCCAGATTTCAGCTGGAGTCAGCCCCCCACACCCAGGAATCACCTACAAACTCACGGGCCTCACGGTGCTCCACCCCTGTGTCTTTCGTCTCTTCACCCCCAGGCCTCAGGGACTCTCCTGTGGCTCCCAGTTACTCTCCAGCCATCCCCAGGTTCCTGCGGGAGTCAGCCCCATGCACCCAGGAGTCCCCCAGAGACTCACAGGTCTCGGGAGAATATGAGCGGTCCCCCAGCCCTGACTCCTCAAGATTCATGCCTGCCTCACCCAGCTTCTCCCTCTCCCCTCCCAGAAACTCAGACCCAACGGGCAGCTCCTCACCAGGGATGTGGAAGTACTCTACATCATCCCGCAGGGCTTCACCACTCTCACATCCATCATCAACAGAATTCCACAGCTTTACGTTTCCCTTTCCTAACCAAGCAGGACAGTCACTCATGTCATTGTGTTCTCCCGTGTCCTCCTCTGGAGATTCTTCACAGTCACCTCATTCATCAATAATATACCATATGTTCTTACTGCCATCATCCAGCAGCTCACCCCCAGCCACCCATGACTCTCCTGTCTGTCCCAGCTACTCTCCAACCACGCCCAGATTTCCGCGGCAGTCTGTACCCCACACCCCAGAAACACCTACAAACTCACAGACCTCAGTGAGATCCTGGGCAGTCTCTCTCACGTCTTCACCCCCAGCCCTTACGGACCCTCCAGTCTGTCCCAGCTACTCTCCAACCACGCCCACATTTCAGCGCGGGTCAGTTCCAGGAACCCAGGGATCACCGCCAAGCCCACCACTTTCACTGAGTTACTCCCCAGTCTCTAGCACGTCTTTATCTCCAACCCTCAGGGACTCGCCTGTCTGTCCCAGCTACTCTCCAAACACGCCCACACTTCAGCGGGAGTCCATTGCAGGCACCCAGAAATCACCACCAAACTCACCAATTTCACTACGTTACTCCCCAGTCTCTCTCATGTCTTCACCATCACTCAGGGACTCTCCCGTCCGTCCCAGCTACTCTCCAACCACGCCCACATTGCAGCTGGAGTCAGTTCCAGGCACCCCGGAATCACCACCAAACTCACCAATTTCACTCAGTTACTCCTCAGTCTCTAGCACGTCTTTATCTCCAACCCTCAGGGACTCTCCTGTGTGTCCCAGCTACTCTCCATCCACGCCCACACTTCAGCGGGAGTCAGTTCCAGGCACCCAGGAATCACCACCAAACTCACCAATTTCACTCAATTACTCTCCAGTCTCTCTCATGTCTTCACCAGCCCTCAGGGACTCTCCCGTCTGTCCCAGCTACTCTCCAACCACGCCCACATTGCAGCTGGAGTCAGTTCCAGGCACCCCGGAGTCACCACCAAACTCAAAAGTTTCACTCAGTTACTCCCCGGTCTCTCTCATGTCTTCACCCCCAGCCCTCAGGGACTCTCCTGTGTGTCCCAGCTACTCTCCAACCATGCCCAGATTTCAGCGTGAGTCAGTTCCAGGCACCCAGGTATCACCTACAAACTCAGCAGTTTCACTGAGTTACTCCCCAGTCTCTCTCATGTCTTCACCCCCAGCCCCCTGGGACCCTCCAGTCTGTCCCAGCTACTCTCCAACCACACCCGCATTTCAGCGGGAGTCAGTTCCAGGAACCCAGGGATCACCGCCAAGCCCACCACTTTCACTGAGTTACTCCCCAGTCTCTAGCCCCTCTTTATCTCGAACCCTCAGGGACTCGCCTGTCTGTCCCAGCTACTCCCCCACCACGCCCAGATTTCAGTGGGAGTCAGCCTCCCACACTACAGAATCACCTACGGACTCACAGACTTCACTGACGTCCTCCCTGGTCTCTCTCAGGTCTTTGCCCTCAGCCCACAGGGACTCTTGTGTCTCTTTCAGCTACTCTCAAACTTCTGTAGATTCTAGCTGGAGTCAGTTCCAGGCACCCACGATACACCACCGAACTCACGAATTTCACTGACTTACTCCCCAGTCTCCCTCATGTGCTCACCCCCAGCCCTCAGGGACTCTTCTGTCTCTCTCAGCTACTCTGCAACCATCTCCAGATTTCACCTGGAGTCAGCTTCCCGCACCCAGGAATCACCTACAAACTCACGGACCTTACTGCAACCCTCCCTCATTTCTTTCACCTCTTCACCCCCTGCCTTCAGGGACTCTCCTGGGTCTCCCAGCTTCTCTCCAGCCTTCCCCAGATTTCTGCCACAGTCAGCCCCTGGCACCCAGGACAACCCTAGACACTCACAGGCCACACGAGACTATCTCCCTATGACCTGTACCTATACAGGGATGGCTCCCACGCATCCCTCAGTGACCCCAAACCCATCTCCACTTACACTCAGACACTCCCAGGGCCTGACAGCTACTCCCCGTTATTGTCCTTCAGTTCGAATCCCTGGCCAGTCTACTAGCCCACATGACGCAGTTACCTGGTCATTACTCCACGGTTCCCGTGAGGGCTCCACACCAAGCCGCACAAGAGCCGCTCCTGCATTCCGTCCTCACACGCAGGCCTGTCCATCTACTTGCTACTGTCACACTCTTGCCAGCAGAAGAGGCCCCTGTCATGGCCGATATTACCACCCAGTCTATCCTCACCCCACAGCTCTGCAGCGGGGACCTCCTGCTGGCCCACATGGCTGCCAGAGCCCATGCTGGCATGACGCTCCAGCAGGTCGGCGTCCCTGCGGGACACACTACCGGTGACGTGGCTAGCATCACCCTCCTTCCTGGCGGTGACACTGTTGATGTGAACCCCAGTTTCACATCTGTCATTTTAAATAGGACCATTTTCCCTTTTCGCTCTCCCTTCCATTCACAGGGCTTTTCATTCTCTCTGTTTCTGCCTCCGTTTCAGGTATTTACTCACCTTTTTCTCTCTCACTATGTCTGCCGTGGTCTCCATGAGAGTGCGCCACTTAAGATTCCCCCATTAAAAGTCATGAATTGAGTGGCTTTTAGTATACCTGTGGTTGTGCACATTCAATTTTAATTCGCAATCCATTGTAGAACGTCTTATCACCCCCGACCAGGGAAAAACCCAGTAGACATTAGTCACTCCTCATTCTGTTTCAAACCCTCAGGGCCTGATGGGAAGGCACTTTCGTCTGTGGGGAACCCATGCCCTGCTTCTCCGTTGCGCGGTTTTTTTTTTCCTACCATAGATGCCTCTCCTCTCATTCCTCAAATCTCACCTTCCCCTCATGTGCCTTCTGTCTGCCTTGGGGTACACCTAGCCGCCCGAGGTGCACTGTGGGATCGAACCAGGGACTCCAGGGTCCCTGAGGCCCAGCCCAAGGCCTGATGGGAAGACACTTTCGTCCGTGTGGAGGACCCAGTCCCCGCTTCTCCGCGGCTGGATTTTTTTTTCTCTGCCCCAGGTACCTCACCTTCCCCTCTTGTGCCTTCTGCACGCTTTGGGGTACCCCTAGCGGCCCAAGGCACACCCTGGGCTCGAACCATGTAAGCCAGGTTCCACAGGGTCAAGCGCAGTGGCTGATGATAAGACACGTTCTTCCTCGGGGACCCAGGCTCTGCTTCTTTGTGGCGTTTTTTTTCTTTTCTTTTCCCCAGGTGCCTCACTTTCCCGTCATGGGCTTTCTGCCCGCCCTGAGGTACCCCTTGCCGGCCCGAGGCGCACCCTTGTTTTGAGCCAGGGATGCTAGGGTCTCCGGGGCCCAGTGTAGGGCTTATGGGTAGGGACGTTCGTCCATGGGGAACCCAGGCCCCACTTCTGGGGGGCGCAGTTTTCTATTTTGTTCTCTGCCCCAGGTGTCTCACCTTTCCCTCATGGGCCTTCTGTCTGTCTTGGGGTACCCCTAGCGGCCTGAAGCGCACCCTGGTCTCAAACCAGGAATGCCAGGGTCCCCTGTGCCCAGCGCAAGGGCTGATGGGAAGACCCTTTCGTCCGTTGGGGACCCAGGCTCCGCTTCTTCGTGGTGCAGTTTTTTTTTTCTGCCACAGGTGCCTCACCTCTCCTTCCTCAAACCTCAACTGCCCCTCATGGGATTTCTGCCCCCCTTGTGGTACCCCTAGCAGGCCCGAGGTGCACCCGGAGCTCGAACCGGGGTCTCCAGCGTCCACAGGGCCCAGCGCAGGGACTGATGGGAAGGCATTTTCATCCTTGGGGTACCCAGGCCCAGCTTCTCCTAGGCGTGGCTTGTTTTTTTTTTTTTTTTTCTGCCACAGGTTCCTCACCTCTCCTCCCTCAAATGTCAACTTCCCATCATGGGCTTTCTGCTCTACTTGGGGTACCCCTAGCAGCCCAAGGCTCTCCCTGGACTCGAACCATGGATGCCATGGATGCTGGGGCCTAGCGCAGGGGCTGATGGGAAGGTACCTTCATCGGTGCGTATCCAGGCCCCGCTTCTCAAAGCTGCGGATTTTTTTCTCCGCCCCTGGTGCCTCACCTTCCCCTCACTGGCCTTCTGCCTGCTTTGGGGTACCACGAGCAGGCCCGAGTTGGGAAGGCACTTTCATCAGTGGGGACCCAGGCCCGGCTTCTCCGAGGTGCTGATATATATATATATATATATATATATTTTTTTTTTTTTTTTTTTTTTTTTTTTTTTTCTGCCACAGGTGACTCACCTCTCCTCCCTTAAATCTCGCCTTCCCCTCATGGGCTTTCTGGCTTCCTTAGGGTACCCTAGCATGCCGGAGTCTCTTCTGGTCCTTGAACTAGGGTCGCCAGAGTCCAGGGGGCCCAGCGCAGGGGCTGATGAGAAGGCACTTTCGTCCGTGGGAGACCCAGGCCCCGCTTCTCTTCCCCACGGTTATTTTTTTTTCTGCCGCAGGTGCCACACCTCTCTTCCCTCAAACCTCACCTTCCCCTCATGGGCCTTCTGCCCATTTTGGGGTACACCTAGCGGGCCCGAGGTGCACCCAGGCCTAGAACCAGGGTCGCCTGGGTCCACGGGGCCCAGCTCAGGGACTGATGGGAAGGCACTTTTTTTCCATGGGAGACCCAGGCCCCACTTTTCCGTGGCGCGGTTTCTTTTTCTTTTCTGCCACAAGTGCCTCACCTCTCCTCCCTCACAGCTCACCTTCCTCTCATGGACTTTCCACCGCGTTGGGGTATCCCTAGTGGCCCGAGACTCTCCCTGAGCTCCAACCAGGGACTCTAGGTTCCCCGGGGCCCCACGCAGGGGCTGATGGGAAGGCACTTTCATACGTGGGGTACCCAGGCCCCACCTTTCCGCGGTGCGGGTTTCTTTTTTTTCTTTTTCTGTGACAGGTGCCTCACCTCTCCTCCCTCAAAACTCACCTTCCCCTCACGGGTTTTGTGTCCCCAAAGCCCCCTTGGGGTGCACTTAGCGGCCGAGGCACACCCTGAGCTCGAACGAGGGACACCAGGGTCCCTGGGTCCCAGTGCAGGGACTGATGGGAAGACACTTTCGTCTGTGGGGCACCCAGGCCGTGTTTCTCCGCGGTGAAGTTTTTTTTTTTCTCTGCCCTAGGTGCCTCACCTTCCCCTTAGGGGTTTTCTGCCCACCTTGGGGTACCCCTACTGTCCCGAGGCATACCCCAGGGTCAAACCAGGGACGCCAGGGTCCCCAGGTCCCAGCGAAGGGGCTGATGGGATGGCACTTTCATCCGTGGGGGACCCAGGCACTGCTTCTCGGCTGAGCATTTTTTTTTCTCTGCCTCAGGTGCCTCACCTTCCCCTCATGGACCTTTTCTTTGCTTTGTGGTACCCCAAGCTGTCCCGAGGCTCACCCTGGGCTCGAACCAGGGTCGCCAGGGTCCACCAGGCCCAGCATAGGGCCTGATGGGAAGGCACTTTCATCCGTGGGGGACCCAGGCCCCGCTTCTCTGAGACGCGGTCCTCTTTTTTTATTTTTTCTGCCCCTGGTGCCTCACCTCTCCTCCCACAAACTTCAACTTCCACTCATGGGCCTTCTGTCCAAGTTGGGGTGCCCCTAGTCGCCTGAGGCACACCCCGGGCGTGAACCAGGGATGCCAGGGTCCCTGGGGCCCAGCGCAAGGGCTGATGGGAAAAAACTTTCGTCCCTGGATGACCCAGACACTGCTTCGCGGCGCATTTTTTTTTCTTCTTTGCCCCAGGTGTCTCACCTTCCCCTCATGGGCCTTCTGCCTCTCTGCGCCTGCGCCGGCGCTGTGGGCCTCTCTGCGCCTGCGCCGGCGCTGTGGGCCTCTCTGCACCTGCCCCGGCGCTGTGGGCCTCTCTGCGCCTTTCGCCGGCGCTGTGCGCCTTTGCGAGGGCGGAGCTGCGTTCTTCCCAGCACAGCCAAGGAGAGCATCGCCAGGGCGGAGCTGAGTTCTCCTCTGCACAGACTTCAGATATACAGCGAAGGCGGAGCAGTGTTCTCCTCAGCACAGACCCAGGCGGGCCGGGGGCACCGCGAGGGCGGAGCTGCGTTCTGCTCAGCACAGACCCGGGGGACACCGCTAAGGCAGAGCAGCGTTCTCCTCAGCACAGACCTTTGGGGCACTGCCTCGCTTTGGGACAACTCGGGACCGCATAGACGGTGAATAAAATCCTTCCCTTTTGCAGCCCTGAATAATCAGGGCCAGAGACCAGTTAGAAGGGCTCAGTGTGGAAAAGGGAAACCAAAAGCCCCTCTGAATCCTGCCAACCGAGGTTCTCCCCAGCCAAGCCGAGGCGGCCACAGTGCGAGATCCACACCGCAGCTTCGGAAGACAAATGCAGCATTCCTAATGCAGACATGACACCCAAATTATGACACTCCCATTGCTCATGTAACAAGCACCTGTAATGCTAATGCACTGCCTCAATACAAAAATATTAATATAAGATCCGCAATCCCCTTGCTGCCATGCAGTCCTAAGACAGAGATCATAATAATCAACATTGACATAGTACAAACGTAGTAACGAACCTAGGGTTAAGGTTGGTGTTAGGGTTAGGGGTTAGGGGTTAAGTTTAGGGTTGGGGTTGGAGATAGGGGTTGGGGTCAGAGTTAAGAGTTAAGAGTCAACGTTTAGAGTTAGAGGTTAAGAGAGGTTAGGGGTTAGGGATAAGGGGTTAGGGTTGGATTAGTGTGAGGGTGAGGGTTGTGGCTAGGGGTTAGGCTTAGGGGTTACGGTTAAGGGTTAGGGTTAGGGTCAGGGGTTAGGGGTCAGGGTCAGGGGTTAGGGATCAGGGTCATGGGTCAGGGTCAGTTTCAGGGGTCCCACTCTTTGAGTTGTCCATTTACTCTGCTGACTGTTCCCTTTGCCATGCAAAAGCTGTTTAGTTTAATTAAGTCCCAGCTATTTATCTTTGTTTTTATTTCATTTGAATTTGGGTACTTGGTCATGAAATCCTTGCGTACGTCAATGTCTAGAAGGGTTTATCCAGTGTTATCTTCTAGAATTTTTATAGTTCAGGAATTAAAGTTCTTAATCCATCTTGAGTAGATTTTTGTATAAGATGAGAGATGAGAATCCAGTTTTATTCCCCTACATGTGCCTCGCCAATTATCCCGACATCATGTGTTGAAAAGGGGGTCCTTTCCCCACTTTATGTTTTTGTTTACTTTGTCGAAGATCAGTTGGCTGTAAGTATTTGGGTTAATTTCTGGGTTCTCTCTTCTGTTCCATTGGTCTATGTTCCTATTTTTAAACCAGTACGTTGGTGTTTTGGTAACTATGGCCTTACTGTACAGTTTGAAATCAAGTAGTGTGATACCTCCAGGTTCTTTTTGCTTAGGCTTGGTTTGGTTACATGGCTCTCTTTTGGTTCCATATTAATTTTAGAATTGTTTTTGTAATTCTGTGAATAATGATGGTGGCATTCAGATGGGGATTGCATTGAATTTGTAGATTGCCTTTAACAGAATGGTAATTTTCACAATATTGGTTCTACCCATCCATGAGCATGGGGATGCATTTCCATTTGTTTGTGTCATCTATGACTTCTTTTCTTTCTTTTTTTTTTTTTTTTTTCAGAGGGAGTTTCGCTCTTGTCACTGAGGTGGGAGTGCAATGGTGTGATCTCGGCTCACTACAACTTCTGCCTCCCGGGTTCAAGCGATTCTCCTGCCTCAGCTTCCCGAGTAGCTCGGATTATAGGCATGTGCCACCGTGCTTGGCTCCATCTATGATTTCTTTCAGTAGCGTTTTGTAATTTTCATTGTAGCGGTCCTTTGATTCCTTTGCTAGGTATATTCCTAAGTTTTGTTTTTTTGTTGTTGTTGTTTGTCGCAGCTATTGTAAAAGGGGTTGAGTTCTTGATGTGATTCTCTGCTTGGTAGCTGTTGATGTATGGAAGAGCTACTGATTTGTGTCCATTAATCTTGTATCTGGAAACTTTGCTGAATTCTTTTATCAGTTCTAGGAGGTTTCTAGAGGAGTCCGTAGGGTTTTCTAGGCAAAAGATTATATCATCAGCAACAAGTGACAGTTTGACTTCCTCTTTACCGATTTGGATTTCCTCTATTTCCTTCTTTTGTCTGATTGCTCTGGCTAGGATTTCCAGTACTATGTTGAAGAGGAGTGGTGAGAGTAGGCTCCTCGTCTTGTTCCAGTTCTCAAAGGGAATGCTTTCACCGTTTCCCCATTCAGTATTATGTTGGCTGTGGGTTTCTCATAGATGGCTTTTATTACATTAAGGTATGTCCCTTGTATGCTTATTTTGCTGAGAGCTTTAATCATAAAGCAATGCTAGATTTTGTCAAATGTTTTTTCTGCACCTGTTGATATAATCATATTAGATTTTTTTAATTCTGTTTATTTGGTGTATCACACTTATTGACTTGCATATGTGAAACCACTCCTATATCATTGGTATAAAACCCACTTGATCATGGTGGATTATTTTTTGATATGTTGTCGGATTCAGTTAGATAGTATTTTGTTAAGGATTTTGGCATCTGCGTTCATCAAAGATATTGGTCTGTAGTTTTCTTTTTTGGTTATGTCCTTCCATGGTTTTGGTATTAGGGTGATGCTGGCTTCATAGAATGAATAAGGGAGGGTTTCTTCTTTCTCTGTCTTGTGGAATAGTATGAAAAGATTGGTATCATTTCTTCCTTGAATGAAAGAAGACATTCTTTGAATGTCTGGTAGATTTCTGCTGTGAATCTGTCTGGCCCTCAGCTTTTTTTGCTGGTAATTTTAAAATTACCATTTCAATCTTGCTGCTTGCTTTATTGGTCTGCTTAGGGTATCTAATTCTTCCTGATTTAAGCTAGGAGAGTTGTATTTTTCCAGGAATTTATCCAACTCTTCTAGGTTTTGTAGTTTATGTGCCAAAAGGTGTTCACAGTACCCTTGAATAATCTTTAATATTTCAGTGGTGTCAGTTGTAATATCCCCTGTTTCATTTCTTAGTGAGGTTATTTGGATTTTCTCTCTTCTTTTCTTGGTTAATCTTGCTAATGGTCTATCAATTTTATTTATCTTTTCAAATAACCAACTTTTTCTTTTATTTATGTTTTGTATTTGTTGTTGTTGTTGTTGTGTCAATTTCATTTAGTTCTGCTCTGATCTTTGTTATTTCCTGTGTTTGCTGGGATTGGGTTTGGCTTATTCCTGCTTCTCTAGTTCCCTGAGATGTGAACTTAGATTGTCTGTTTGTGCTCTTTCAGACTTTTTGATGTAGGTTTTTAGGACTACAAACTTTGCTCTTAGCAGTGCCTTTGCTGTATCCCAGAGGTCTTGATAGGTTGTGTCATCCAGTTCGAAGAAATTTTTTACATTTCCATCTTGATTTCATTTTTCACCCAATGCTCATTCTGTGAGGAACAACCAAATTGTTTTCCGCAGCAAGGGCATCATTTTCTATTCCTAACAGCCAGATCATGAGGGCTCCAACTTCTCCACCTCCTTAGCAACATTTATTTTCTGTGTCATTGTTATGAAAGCCTTACTTGTGGGTGCAGAGTGGCATGAATGTAGTCAATTAACACGTTTATTACCTCACAGAATCGTCACCTTTTTGTGTGCATGGGTGGGATAAGAAAACTTAACTCTATCCCCTGTGACGGAATAGTGGCCATTCCAACTGCTCCAGGCTCCAGCAGAGGAAGACCGGGGTATGTGGCCCCACCAGGGTGACCCTCAGGCCTGGCGCGCACGCATTCCAGAGGCCACCCAAACCATGCTCCGCCATCTGGGCGCCCAAGCTGCCGTCGCCCTCTGTGTGCAGGCAGCAGCTGCCTGGCAACCCCTGAGCCCGCTCGCACTCCTAGCATCACAGAAGCAGGGCCACGTGTCCCAGTGGCTGCAGCCAAGCCAGGCATTCTGCCCTGCGGCAGCAGCTGCACAGGAGCGAGAACTGAGAACCCACCGCTCAACCCCACACGAGGTGACTGCCGAGTGCCCATACAAACGGCTCCGATCTCCCTCAGGTGGAGGAGTGGTCGGGAGGCACGGCCTGGGGGCCCTCAGGCTGGGCGCGCTGGCAATCCCAAGGCCGACCAGGCCATGCACTTCCAGCCCGCCTGGGCACCCGAGCTTCAGCCGCCTTCTGCGTGCAGGCAGCAGCCTCCAGGCAACTCCCGAGCTCGCCCACACTAACCACATCTCGGAAGCAGGGCCAAATGTCCCTGTGGCTGTGGCCAAGCCAGGCGGTCTGTCCTGCAGCAGCTGCACAGGGGCGGGAACCGGCCCTCAGCCCCATCCCCGGTGGCTGCAGAGGGCCCCTGGATAGAGATCTGGAGCTCTGACAGAGGAGGAGCCAGGCCGGGGCAGGGTCTGGCAGTCTCTCAGGCCAGGGGCACCCGCGATCCAGAGGCGGCCCAGGGCATGCTCCACCACCTGGGCACACAGCTTCAGGCGCCGGGCGACTCCCAAGCTGGCTGGCGCGCCCAGCCTCGCAGAACTGGGGCTAGATGTCGCCGTGGCTGCGACCAAACCAGGCGGTCTGCCCAGGGGCGGCTGCACCGGGACAGGAACCGACCCTCAGCCCCATCCCCGGTGGCTGCAGACGGCCCCTGGGGCGGCCCCGATCTCTCTTCGGAGGAGGAGAGGGGCAGGAGTCACGGCCAGGCGGGCCCTCAGGCGGGAAGGAATGTGCGCCTGCGATTCCGGGACGTCCTGCACCAGCCCAGGAGAACCCGCAAGCCAGCGGCGCCTGTTTCTCTGTGTGATTCTTTGAGGAACCACCAAACTGTTTTCCACAGCAAGTGCATCATTTTCTATTCCTAGCAGCCAGTTCATGAGGGCTCCAGTTTCTCCACCTCCTTAGCAGCATTGATTTTCTGTGTCGTTGTTATGAAAGCCTTACTAGTGGATGCAAAGTGGCATCTCATTTGGGTTTTGCCTTGCATTTTATTAATGAATAATGGTGTTTAGCATCTTTTCTTTTCCTTCTTAGACATTTGTGTATCTTCTTTGGAGAAATGTCTGTTCAAGTCCTTTGTCTATTTTTTTAATTGGGATCTTAGAAATTCTGTTGTTGAGTTGTGGGATATTAAGCTTTTATCAGATACACATTTTGATTTTATCAGATACATATTTTCTCACATATTATGGGTTGTCTTTTCACTCCCTTGATAGTGTCCTTTGATGCATAAAGGGTTTTTTATTTTGATTAAATCTAATTTTCGTGTATTTTCTTTTGTTATCTGTGATTTTCTGTCATATTTCAAAATACACTTAAAACTCAAAGGTCATAAAGGTTTACCGTGTGTTTTCTTCTAAGAGTTACATATTTTTAGTCCTTACATTTAAGTCTTTTATTAATTTAGAATTAATTTTTGTATATACTGCAAGGTAGGGGTCTAACTTCTCTCTTGTGCACTGACATCCAACTGTTGAAGAGACTGTTCTTTCCTCCCTTGACTAGACTTGGCCACCTTGTTGAACAGTCATTGACCATATATGTGAGGACTAACTTGTAGGATCTCAAATCTGTTCTATTGTATTTGTCTGAAAGTCTATTGGTCTTATTCCAGTACCACACTCTCTTGATTACTGTAGATTTGTAGTAGGCTGTGAAACTGAAAAATGTAAGTTTTCCAATGTTCTTTTTCAAGACTCTTTTGTCTGTCAGATCCTTTGAATTTTTGTATGATTTTAGAATGAGTTTCTTTGTTTCTGCAAAAATGCCTTTGGGATTTTGATGGTATTGCATTGAATCTGTAGATTACTTTAGATGGTATTGTCATCTTAACAATATTGTCTTACAACCCGTGAACACAGAATGTCTTTCCACTTATTTCCACTCTCTTTAGTTTTTTGCAGCAATGTTTTGTGTATACCACCATGGTTAGATTTATGCCTGAATAACGTATTCTTTGATGTCATTATAAATAGAATTTTTAAAATGTTTTCATAGTTCTTTACAACTATATAGAAATATAGCTCATTTGCCTATGTTTGTTTGCATCCTGCCTCTTTTATTAGTTATAATCGGTTTTGTGTTTTGTTTGGAGCTTTATACCTATAAGATCATGTGTAGATATAATTTTACACCTATTTTTTATTTCTAATTTAGATGCCTTTTATTTCTTTGTCTTGCCTAATTGCTCTGGCTAGAACTGCCAGTGCTACGTTGAATACAAGTGGCAAATGCACCATCCTTTTCTTCTACATGTTAGGAAAACAGCTTTCAGTGTTTCATCATTCATCATGATATTAACTGTTGGGTTTTTGTACATCCCATTGTCATGTTGCAGAAGATCCCTTCTATGCCTAGTTTATTGAGTATTTTTATTATAGAAGGGTGTTGTATTTCATCAATGTTTTCTCTGCATCAATTGAAATAATCACGTGCTTATTCATTTTACTGTTACAGCATATTACACTGATTGATTTTTTATATGTTGAACCACCCTTGCATTTTGGGGATAAATCTCAAAGGGTGATAGTTTACAATCCTTTGATTATATCCTTTGATATAAGGATAATGCTGTTATCAAAAAATGAATTAGCAAGTATTCCTTCTTCATATATTTTGTCAGAAGAGTTTGAGAAGAAATGGTATTAATTCTTCTTTAAATGTTAGGTTGACTCACCAGTTAATGCAGCTATTTGGTCATAAATGTTTCTTTGTTAATCGCTTTCGATTACTAATTCAATCTCCTAGGTTATAGGTCTATTCAGATGTTCTCTTTCTTCTTGAGCCACTTTGGTAGTTTGTGTCTTTCTAGCGATTCATCCATTTCATCCAGGGCACCTAATTTGTTGCTAGACAGTTGTTCACAGTATACTCCTATAATCCTTTTGTATTTCTGTAAAGTTGGTAGTAATGGCTCTGTTTTCATTTATTATTTTAATAATTAGTCTTCCATCTTTTGCTCAGTCAATATAGTGAAAGGTTTGAGCTTTCAAAGAATCTAAATTTTTTCATTCTACTGCTCTCCAACCTTCTATTTGATTGATTTATGCTCTAATTATGCTCTTTATTATTTCTTTCCTTCTGCTAGCTTTGGATTTAGTCTTCCACCTGGATTGATTTTGGGAGTGATATTGATGTAACTTCATGGAAATAATACTAGATAGAAAGTTAGCGGATAGATTCTCTATCTGATGAGAGTTTGGGGCAAGTCGAGTACCAGGTTACCAAGTTTTATTTTTTTCTCTGACCCAAAAAACAATTTGGCAGCCGGTGAGAAACCCTCACAGCTCTGGATGTGAGTTTAGGACACTGCATTTCTACCATTCAATTTCTTACTACTTTTTTGCACAGGGATCATGGCACAAGTTGCAGTTTCCACCCTGCCCATGGAAGATGAGGAGTCTGTTGAAGATGATTCCGTGGAGAGCAGGATGGTGGTGACATTTCTCATATCAGCTCTCGAGTCCACGGTGAGACCTTCTGTTCTAACATGATATAATTGGGTAGAACTGGGTGGTAGATAAGGTTGATTTGTTTTTGTAGAACTTATAATTTTATGATTTGTAGTTCTAATGAGTAGATCTTTTTCTGGAATAGTAGTTATGGTCAAACACTTCTAACCAAAAGTGCCATGTTGTCCAGTCTGGTCTCAAAATATGGGGCTCAAGAGACCTGCCCACCTTGGCCTCCCAAAATACTGGGATTACAGGTGTAAGCCCCTGAATCTGGCCAGATATTTTTCTTTTTATGGCTGAATAATACTCTGTGTATGTATATATTACATTTTCTTTATCTATTCACCTACTGATGGGCATTAGGTTTGGGCTACCTTTTGGCCACTGTGAATAATGCTGCTGTTAATCGGGTGTACAAATACCTGTTTGAGTCCCTGCTCTCAGTTCTTTTGGGTATATACTCTTAAAGGGTGTTGATGGATCATATAATTCTATGCTTCATATTTTTAAGGAGCTGCTAAACCATTTTCCACAGTGGGCTGTACCATTTTACATTCCAAAAAGCAATGCATACAGCTTCCAATTTCTCTATAGCCTTGCTGACAGTTAATATTTTCTGTTTATGTATTGTATTTTTATAGTGTTTGAAATTAATCTGAGGCTTTTTGCTGATACCAAAATATTAGGAAAGGTTTTCCAAAAATAATACTGCTTATTATAAAGGATTTTACGTGTTACTTGATGCCCTGTGATCTGTTTTCTAAGTAAGAAGAGGAACTTCTTGGCTGGGCACAGCGGCTCATGCCTGTAATCCTAGCACTTTTGGAGGCCGAGGTGGGTAGATTACCTAAAGTCAGGAGTTCAAGACCAGCCTGGCCAACATAGCGAAACCCAGTCTCCACTAAAAAAAAAAAAAAAAAAAAAAAAATTAGCTGGGTGTGGTGGGGGGTGCCTCTAATCCCAGGTATTCGGAAGGCTGAGGCAGAGAATTGATTAAACCCATAAGGCAGAGGTTACAGTGACCGAGATTGCACCACTGCACCCCAGGCTGTGTGACAGAGCGAGAGTCCATCTCAAAAAAAAAAAGGAAAGAAAGAAGAGGAACTTCTCTCCATCCAGCCTCATTCCACTGCACCAACTCTTCTGTGTCAGGTTGTGCACGGGAGAAAGGGAGCTTGGCAACTCTTTGCTGTGTTGAGTTGTGGTAGCCCATCACTGGGTTGTAAAGTGCCTTGCCTCCTTTCCTCCCCTCCTTTTTTTTTGAGACAGAGTCTCACTCTGTCATCCAGGCTGAGGTGCAGTGGTGTGATCTCTGCTCACTGCAACCTCAGCCTCCTGGGTTCAAGTGATTCTCCTGCCTCAGCCTCCCAAGAAGCTGGGACTACAGGCACATGCCACCACACCTGGCTAAATTTTTTTATTTTTAGTAGAGACAGGGTATCACCATGTTGGCCAGGCTGCTCTTGAACTCCTGACTTCAGGTGATCCACCCACCTTGGCCTCCCAAAGTGCTGGGGTTAAAGGCATGAGACACTGCGCCCGTCCACCTCCTCTTTTACTTGGGAGAAATGCACAGATTCTGGGTGCCATGTGCATTTTTTTGGGGAGTGATAATTGATCTAACTTATGGAAATAATACTAGATAGTTAGCGGATGGATTCTGTATCTGATGAGAGTTTTGGGCAAAACGAATTCCTACTTTCTGAGTCGTATTTTTCCCCTGATTCAAGAAAACTGTGAATTATCCAGCCAGTAAAAAACTCTCACAGCTCCGTATGTGAGTTTAGGACACTGGATTTCTACCACTCATTTTCTTACTACTTTTCTTGTGCAAGGATCATGGCACAAGTTGCAGTTTCCACCCTGCCCATTGAAGATGAGGAGTCTGTTGAAGATGAGGAGTCCTTGGAGAGCAGGATGGTGGTGACATTCCTGTCAGCTCTCGACTCCATGGTCAGACCTTCTGTTCTCACATTCTGTAGTTCAGTAGGACTGGGCGGTAGATAAGGTTGATTTGTTTTTGTAGAACTTACAATTTTGTGATTTTTAGTTCTAATGAGTAGACCTTTTTCGTGAATAGTAGTTACGGTCAAACACCTCTGACCAAATGTGCATGTGGAGTTTCTACACTGATTTTCAGACAATCTGGATCCCAACTGGATATCCCACAATTCCATCCTGACACTCCCTGGAGTTAGTGCAGACCCCGCAGGATGGGAGCTCAGTCCCAGGAGTCTACCCTCACTCCACATGCCAATTGCAAGTCTTGGGTTGTTACATGTAGTTTTGACCAACCAGTTAGAAAACAGAGTTTCATGACCCCCATTGGTGGGTGGAATCATTTGCTCGGACAGCTTGCAGAACTCAGAAAAACAGATTGTTTTCCTTTTTTTCTGAGATACAGGGTCTCAGTCTGTTGCCAGGCTGGAATGCAGTGGTGTGATCAAAGCTCACTGTAGCATGGGACTCCTGGGCTCAAGTGATCCTCCCACCTCAGCCTCCCAAATAGCTGAGATTATAGGCCTGTACCAGCATATCTGGCTATGTTCTCTTACTTTTTGTAGAGATGGGGTCTTGTTATGTTGCCCAGGCTGGTCTCAAATTTCTGGGCTCACATGATCCTCCCACCTCAACTTCACAAAATGCTGGGATTATGGGCATGAACCACTGCATCTCACCAATTTATTTTCTTTTACTTCTTCATTTTAAAGGCTAAATCTCAGAAACAGCCAGTGAAAGAGATGTACATGCTGGGCACAGTGGCTCATGCCTGTAATTTCAGCACTTTGGGAGACTGAGGCGGGAGCATCGCTTAAGTGCTCAGGAGATTAAGACCAGCCTGGGTAACAAGGTGAAAATGCATCTCTACAAAAAGATTTTTCTAAAAATTAGCCAGGCACAGTTATCTATAGTTCTAGCTACTCAGTGCCTATAATTCTAGCTACTCAGGAGGCTGAGGTGAGAGGATGAGAGGATGGGGCTTGAGATAGGGAGGCATAGTTCGCAGTGAGCCACGATTGTGCCACAGCACTCTAGGCTGGGAGACAGAGCCAGACTCTGTCTCAAAAAAAAAAAAAAAAACACACAGGGCAAGGTATGTCAAGAGGGTTACAGAACTTCCATGTCCTCTATTGTGAATGTTACCTTCCTGGTATCACCCTTGTGTTCAGCAACCCAGACATTCTCCAACTCCAGTTGTTGAGGGCGCTTATGAACGCTTCATTATGCAGGCATGATTGATGAAGTCATTGACCATTGGTAATTAAGTCAGTCTTCGGCCACTATTTCTTCCTGGAGCCCAGGGGGTGAGGCTGACAGTTCCAAGCCTCTAATCACATGGTTTGTTCTTCTGACAACAACCACCCCTTTTTCTGAAGCTGTCTAGGAGCTTTCAGTCACCCAGTCATCTCAGTAACATCACCAAATGCATTCTTACTATGGTGATCCCAAAGGTCTTAGAGGCTCTTGTGTTAGAAACCTGGGACTAAGACCAAATATTGAAACAGAAGATGCCCCATCACTTTCATCACCAAGGCCTTTATAAGAGCTTGAGAAGCTCTGTGCCAGGATGAGGGGCAGAAACCAAATGTGTATTTCTTCTTTTTCTTTTGAACACAGAGTCTCTGTTTCACCCGATCTGGAGTGCAGTGATGGTGTTGTAGCTAACTGCAGCCTCAACCACCTGTGCTCAAGCAATTCTCCCACCTCAGCCTTCCAGGCCTCTGGGACTACAGGTGCACACCATCCATGCCCAGCTAATTTTTGTATTTTTTTTTTGTAGAGATGGGATCTTGTTATATTGCCGAGGCTGGTCTTGAACTCTGAGGCTAAAGCGATCCTTTCACCACAACCTCTCAAGTAGCTGAAACTACAGATGCATACTACCATGCCCAGCTAATTTTTTCTTATTTCTTTTTGTTGTTTAATTGAGGGGGTCTCGCCGTGTTTCCCAGGCTGGTCCTGAAGTTTTGGCCTCAAGCGTTTCTCCTGCTTTGACCTCCTAAACTGTTGGGATTATGGTTGTGAGCCACGGCCTCTGTGTCCAGCAATCACAAGAGGTCTTTATAAGTGAAAGAGGGAGGTAAGAGAGTCCGAATTGAAGGAGATTTGATGATGGAAGCACAGGTCACAGAGGGAGATTCGAATATGCTTTGCTTCTGGCTTTGAAGATGCAGTTAGGAGCCATGAGCCAAAGAATAGCAGTGGCTTTAGCAACTGGGAAAGACAAGGGAACATATTCTCTCCAGAACCTCCAGAAGGGATGCAGTCCTGCTGGCACCTTGACTTTAGCCTTAATAGACCTATTTTGGACTTCTGGCCCCCAGACCTCTTAGTTAGTAGATTTGTGGTGTATTAAGCCACTCAATGTAGGGTAGTTTGTAACAGCAGCAAGAAGAAATGAACATGAAGCCAGAATTGGTGGCCCACACCTATAATTCCAGCTATTTAGGAGGCTGAGGCAGGATGGTTGCTTTGGCCCAGGAGTTCACGATAAGTCTGGGCAACAAAATGGTACCCTGTCTACATGGAAAAAAAAATTAGCGGGTGTGGTGGCATGCACTTGTAGTCTTAGCTACTAGAGGCCCTGAGGCAGGACAATTTCTTGACCTAGGAGCTCCAGGTCTCAGTGCGTTGTGATCGTGCCATGGCACCCCAGTCTGACTGACACAGCGAGATTATATCTTAGAAAAAAAAAGAAAAAAGAAATGAGTGAGCATGGCAGGAATAGGGACAGATAGCAATATTAAATAGAGTGGTCAGGGTTGGCCTCCTAAGTGAAAATTGAGCAAAGACTTGAAGGAGGGGAAGGAGCTGGCCAAGGTACTGAGGGAAGAGCATTGTAGGCAGAAACAACAGAATAAAGATGCTAAGAGGGAACTCCGTGGTGTGTCTGAAGCTCAGGAAAGAGGTCTGTGGAGTAGAGAGAGGGAGAGAAGTAGGGAAGGAGGCCAGGGAGTTGTTGGACTCAGATCAGTACAGATTGTGTAAGCCCTAGGAGGCTATTGCTGGGGCTTTGGTTTTTATTCTGTCTGAGATGGGAGATGCAGAAGGGTTCTGAGCAGAGAGGTGACGCGAACTGTCTACTGATTTAAAAGCATCCCATGGCAGCTGAGTTGAGAAAGATTGTGGGAAGATTTGGGTAGAAGCAGGGAGGCCATGCTGTGGCAACCTCCAGGTGGGAGATGATAGTGGTTCTGACCAGGGCCCTGGCAATGGTGAGAGATGGTTGATTCTTGTTGAAATACTAAGTAATTAAAAAAAAAACACTACTGCTTTTCCCAATTATATGAAGTATGGGATGCTAGATTACAGAAATCTTAAGTCGGGCCAGGTGCAGTGGCTTATGCCCGTAGCTTCAGCACTTTGGGAAGCAGAGATGGGAGAATGGTTTGAGTCCAGGAGTTTGAGACCACCCTGGGCAACACAGCAAGACCTCCTGTCTATGCAAATAAAAATTAATAAAATATAATTATCCCGGCATAGTGGTATTTTCCTGTAGAACCTGTTACTTAGGTTGTTGAGGTGGGCAGATCTCTTGAGGGCGGGAGTTTGAGGCCAGCTTGGGCAACGTAGCAAGGCTCCTCTTTCTACAAAAAAAAAAAAAAATTAGCTGGGTGTTTTGGTGCTCATCTGTAGCCGTAGCTATGGTGAGGGTGAGGCAGGAGGATCCCCGGAGCCCAGGAGGTCACGGCTGCAGTTAGCTATGAGTGCACCCCTTCATTGCAGCCAGAGTGACAGAGTGAGACCCGGTCTCAGAATACAGATACAAGTAAAGAAATCTCAGCTCAGAGCAGTCTGTTTGTCACTATGCAGCCTTTTCAACCCCATAGCTGCGCGATTGGGTTTGTGTTGCTGGAGGTGAGGAGACCCGTGCCCAGGTGTTGTTGCCTGTCTAATCAGTTTATTTTAAAATATATTAATGAAATTTATTTCATCATACTTTATGGCCTCATACCTGAGTGGTTTTTTGAATTCTCCTTTGAATAGCTTGTAACTATTCAAATCTCTTATTGGTTCTATAATTAATTCTTTTTCTAATTAGCTTTTTAAAAATCAGAATTGATATTAGACTAATCAGTTATTAATGAGGAGATGAAATTGAGTTGTTTGTACACTTTATCTAAGATAGTGTTATATTGGCTAACTCAAATCATAGTTCAGCAAATGCAGAATCAGAGCTTCTTCAGTGCGGAACTCTCTTGTGGTTCTTGAAGATGCCATTTCTTTTTCTTTTCTTTTTTTTTTTTTTTGAGACAGCATCTTCCTCTGTCACCAGGCTCGAGTGCAGTGGCACAATCTCAATTCACAGCAACTTCTGCCTCCCGGGTTCAAGCATTTCTTTTGCCTCAGCCTCTGATGTAGCTGGGACTACAGGCACGTGTCACTATGCCCGGCTAAGCTTTGTATTTTCTGTAGATACGGGGTTTCAGCATGTTGGACAGGCTGGTCTTGAACTCCTGACCTTGTGATCCACTGGCCTTGGACTCCTAAAGTGCTGGGATTACAGGTGTGAGCCACCGTGCCTGGCCTCTTTTTTCAGTCTTTAATAAACTGCTGCCATCATTTCAGACCACTTGCTATTTTAGGCACTTAGAAATTTTTCACTGGAATTCATGTAAAGAAAGACCATGGGTGTTTGTACTGGATTTAGTATTCATCCTTCGACTGCATGACTCACCCCTAGTGCCATAATTTTACTAATGAATTTTTCAGATACTACTCAGCTGGCCACTGAACCTAACCAGCAACCCACCCTCAACCATTCAGTGGTCTTTTGTTCTTCTCTGTTCCTCCTGAATGTTTATTACTCTCAGAAGGTGATAAAAACTTGGATTTCTTTTTTTTTTCTTTCTAGAGACAGGGTTTTGTTCTGTCACCCAGGCTGCAGTGCGGTGGCATGATCATGGTTCACTGCAGCCTGAAACCCCGGACTCAAACAGTCCTCCCACCTCAGCCTCCCAAGTAGCTGGGACTACATACATTTGCCCCTATGCCCAGCTAACTTCTTTATTTTTTATTGTACAGATGGGATCTTGCTGTGTTGCTCAGGATGTGGTCAGACTCCTGGCCTCAAGTGATCATTCTGCCTCAGCTTCCCAAAGTGCTTGGATTATATGTAGGTGGGAGCCACCTGTGTTCAATACCCATTTTCTTTTTCTTTCTTTCTTTTGGAGACAGACTCTCACTCTGTCATCCAGGCTGGAATGCAGTGGTGTGATCTCAGCTGACTGCAACCTCCACCTCCCTGGTTCAAGCAACTCCCCTGCCTCAGCCTCCCGACTAGCTGGAATTACAGGCACATGTCACCACTCTCAGCTAATATTTTTGTATTTTTAGTAGAGACAGGGTTTCAGTATGTTGGCCAGAATGGTCTCGAACTCCTGAAATCAGGCAATCCACCCACCTTGGCCTCCCAGTGTGCTGAGATCAGAGGCGTGAGTCACCACGCCATGCCCAGCCATTTTTAAAATAATAACGTTATTGAAATATGATTAACGTATCATGCAATTCATTTATCAAAGTACGCAATTCAGGCCAGGTGCAGTGGCTAATTCCTATAACGCTAAGACTTTGGGCAGCTGAGGCAGGTGGATCGCTTGTGTTCAGGAGTTTGCGACTAGCCTGGGCAACATGGCAAAACAGCATCTCTAGCAAAATTACAAAAATTAGCTGGGTGTGGTGGCTCATGCCTGTAGTCCCAACTACTTGGGGACATGAGACTGGAAGATCACTTGAGCCAGAAGCCATAGGTTGCAGTGAGACCAGATGGCACCACTGCACTACAGCATGGGTGACAAAAGGAGACCCTGTCTTTAAATAACTAAAGAAAAAAGAAAGTATACAATTGAGTGGTTTTTAGAATATTCAAGGAGCTGTGCATCCATCACCACAGTCTTTCTTAGAAGTGATTACCCACTGGTGAGTTACCCACTTATGAGTGAGAAACCCTCACCTCTTAGCCGCTACCTCCTACGTACCCCATGTTCATAGGCAACCACTGATTTATTTTCTGTCATTGTAGTTTTGCCTAATCTGGACCTTTTATAGAAATAGAATTGTACAATGTGTGATCTTTTGTAATTTGCTTTTTTTTTTCTCTTAGCAGAATGTTTTCAAATTTCTTTCATGTTATAGTGTGTATCAGGATTTCTTTCCTTTTGTAGCTGAGTAATAGTTTATGTTTATCCATTCATTAGTTGATGGACATTTGTGTTGTTTTTGCGTATTCACCATCATGAGTCAGGCTGCTATGAACACTCGTACGTAAGTTTTAGTGTGAACATATATTTTTATTTCTCTTGGATTTACACTCAGGAGTGAAATTGTTGCATTATGTGATTACTATACATTTAGTCTTTGAGGAACGGCCACGTTGTTTTTCAAAGTGATTACACTGGTCAGGCACAGTGGCTCACACCTTTAATCTCAGGTATTTGAGACGCTGAGTTTGGAGGATTTTCTTAGCTCGGGAGTTCAGGACAACCCTGGGCAACATAGGGAAACAATGTCTTGATTTTTTAAAAAAATCAAATGCCAAGAAAACACCCAAATTGATTACACCATTTTATGTTCCCACCAGTAATGTATGTGAGTTCCAATTATTCCAATTGTCACCAACTTTTTTTTTTTTTGAGACAAAATCTTGCTCTGTTGCCCAGGCTGGAGTGCAGTGACATGAACATGGCCAGTGCAGCTGTGACCTTCCAGGCACAAGTGATCCTCTCACCTCAGCCTCCTAAGTAGCTGGGACTTACAGGTGCATGCTATCATGTGCAGCTGATTTTTACAGTTTTTGGTAGAAATGGGGTGTTGTCATGTACCCCAGGTTTGTGTCAAACTCCTGAGCTCAAGTGATCTGCCTGCTTCAGCTTCCGGAAGTGCTGAGATTACAGGTGTGTGCCACCACGCCCGACTGGTGTAACCACTTTGGAAAGCAGCCACTGAGCCCGGCCTTCACCAGTATACCAATATTTGTTAATATCGTTTTATTTTTTACAATTTTTCCATTTTTAAAAACTTATTCTTTTACCTGTATTATTGATTATAATAAACAACGAATAATTTTGCAGTAGAGTTGAGTCCCCCCAGAAAGTATTTATTGTTCAACTGAAGTAGTTTTTTTTTTTAACCTGGATATATATTTTTTCATTTTCACTTTATTTTTAGTGTTTATTTTTAAAAATTATTTATATGTATTTTTATTTTAATAGGTGTTTGAAAAACAGTTGGTGTTTGGTTCCATGAATAAGTTCTTCAGTGTTTATTTCTGAAATGTAGTACCCCTCATTACTTAAATTATATATTAAGTCATTATAAAATAATTAATAAACCAAGGACTTTAGTAAAATGGGAATTTTATTTTAACTTGCAACCTGGGACGTAACTGTCAAAAAAATTAGAGAAATTACCACATTAAGGTTTTAAAATCTTGAACTGAAAAATGAAAACCTTGGTGCACCTAAGAACCACCAGCCCACTGGTCAAAGTGAACAAAACTAAATGAAAAAATAAAACCAAGAAAACCAAACTCAGGATTATTAGGTATTTTGTAATGCTATTTTATCTTTGGACTCACAGAAAAGAGTTATTATTATTATTACTCATTATTATTATTATTATTTTGATATGGAGCCTCACTCTGTCACCCAGGCTGGAGTGCAGTGGCGCAATCTTGGCTCACTGCATCCTCTGCCTCCTGGGTTCAAGTGATTCTCCTGCCTCAGCCTTCAGAGTAGTTGGGATTACAGGCAGGTTCCACCATGCCTGGCTAACTTGTATTTTTGGTAGAGACAGGGTTTCACCATGTTGGCCAGGCTGGTCTGAAACTCCTGATCTCAAGCAATCTGCCTACCTCAGCCTCCCAAAGTGCTGGAATTACAGGCATGAGCCACTCTGCTCAGCTGAAAATAGTTAATTTTATGTATATTCCAAGTCAGAATACATCCTATTTTTGAATATTTGATGACTTTAGGATACTATATTAACTCTTAATTGAATTAATACAAGTTTAGGTGTAAAGATGATGTTTATGTTGACAAAAATGATTAATGTTTTACATATATGAAAGTAACAATATCATATATTTTTCATACTTGTACAATACTTTGAAATCTATTATTAGCTAATATTTTATATTCATTTTGTGTTTTCACATTATTGTTAGATCCAGAGAAAAGTAATATTGTGTGAATACTCAAATCATAAACATTTTGCTGGATGCATTCATAGATACTTTATTTAAAAAGTACACTAATTGAAGTTTTACACCATTTTATGATTCATCAAACACAGCAACTGAATACTGGCGTATAGCAACATTACAGATGATGTTAGTCTAAGATAAAACTCATAACACATTTTAAAAAGGGTAAAAGGAAGGAAAGGAAAAAGGATACAAGGCTGTAGAAAGATTTTAAAAACAAACGTCGTATGTCTGAACCTTTGCCTGGAGTTTCATATTTTGTGAGAAGCAGTTTGTAAGTAGAGGACTCGTAAGTGCACCTAGTACACTGCAATGGCACAGACACGGCAGATAGTCAATAAAATGATCTTTAACTTCTGATCTAGGTTATTTTTGTTGTTGTTCATGTATTAACCTAGTGAATCTCAGCCAATAGATGGGGTGGTATTGACCTGCACAACTTCCAAAATCCCATCCAACCTTAGTGTCCTCTGAAGTTCTCCATAACTTATTGTCTGTTCCAACCAACATTTAGCATAAGCTACAGCTTATATTGTTAATAATTCTTCTATGTTTATGTGCTGATTTGCAAATAAATGGGCCTATATAGTCTTTATCTAGTGTTGGATTGGGATCAAAAGTTTCATGAAATCATTGTTTTTAGTATATGTACAGATGGATAATTGTATAAATAAGTACAGATGTGTATAAATGTGTGAGTATACATACATATATTTTCTAGCTCCTCTAACAAAAGGGCCTAGAAACAACATCATCCCAGTAACAATGAGAACACCATTCTCCAATTAAAGGAACCAAGGCTCCTTGGGGACATATTTGATATCAGGATTGGGCAGGGAAAATACAAGATTAGTTTGAAATATTTTGTCATGTTAGGAAGTAAGGAAATGCTCACAAAATGGGGAAAATGTGAAAGGGAAACAGATCCACTTTGAATAAACTTCCATAGCCAAATTTGAGAAAATTGGGGCAATAAAATAGATAACAATAGTAATATATTACAATCTACAGAAGAAAATTTTCAATTAATCCAGGCCGAGTGCAGTTGCTCATGCCTGTATTCCCAGCCCTTTGGGAGGCAGAGGCGGGCAGATCACTTGAGGTCAGGAGTTCGAGACCAGCCTGACCAATGTGGTGAATCCCTGCCTCTACTAAAAATACAAAAATTATCTGGGCATGGTGGCACATGCCTGTAGTCCCAGCTACTCCGGAGGCTGAGGCAGGAGAATGGCTTGAATCCCGGAAGGTGGAAGTGCAGTGAGCGGAAATCGCACCATTGCACACCAGCCTGGATGACAAAACAAGACTCCAACTCAAAAAAAAAATCCATATTGACATAAATAATAAACCAAAGATTGAGAGTGGGTAGTATTTTATTACAGTAAGATTTCATTAAATGTAGGAGACATAAAATATAAGAATCATCACTTTGCAAATATCATAGTAATAATTGTTGCAAGAAAGAGCCTTGGAGGAATGCTAAGATTAGTGGTGAATATATGTTGGGAAAGAACATATTTGCATAATATGAAAGTATCTTCCCACAAGATAATTATAGAATAGTAACTTCAAAGTGGAGATGTCAACTTAGCCAAGTGATCAAAGTTAACATTACTAATAATAAGATAAATGAACTTCATGTAATTTCTTATATGATGCACTGAGTAGGACAAAACATCAATTCTATGGTATTCTTAGACAAAATGTATAACTTTAGTCCTAACCGTGAGAAAACATCAGACTAACTGAAATTGAGGCGGGACATTCTACAAAATAACTGCCAGTATTCATCAAAAGCATTTTAGAAAGACTGAGGAATTCTCCAGAGACATGGAGGCATGTTATCTAAGTGCAATGGAGAACATGCATTGTATCATGAACCAGAGATGGACAACAGTAGGATATGTACAATAACACCCCAACATTTGAACATTAAACAAAATACTTCAGAAAAACCCATTGGCCAAGAAAAGTTTCACACACAAAAAAAATAGTTTAAACTGAAAGAAAATTTTTTAAAAACTTAATAAAATGTGGGATGCAGATAAATCGTTTCTTAAAGGTACATTTATACATGTAATATATTGAAAATAAAAGGCTTCAATCAATGACCTTTAGGTTCTTTTTTAAGAGGCTAAAAAATAAGCAAAGTATATCCAAATTAAGAAGAAGGAAGATGATAAAGATAAAAATGTAAACCAACAACATAGCAAATAACAAAAGGTGGAGCTAATTAATATACCCACAAATTGGTTCTTTGAAAAAAATTTTTTTAATAAACAATGGCTAGCAAGATTATCTCGAAAAAAATTAGAGAAGCTACATAATGTAGATAATGGGAATTAAATAGAGGATGTAACTACAGAACCTACAGACATCAATATAATTATGAAAACTTTAGGCCAATACATTTGACAATTAAAATAACATGGGAAATTATTTGTAAAACTAATTCTTAAAACTAATGCAAAATGAAATAGAAAAAGTAGTAGCTTCTCTATGTATTGAAGAATATTTTTAATTAAAAAAGATTTCTATAATTACAGGCTACATGCTTTCTCAGGTGAATTCTATCAAACATTTAAGAAAGTACAGAGAGTCCTCAACTTACAGTGGTTTGACTTGTGCTCTTCTTACTTGATAATGGTGCTTTCATCTGTGTACGTTAATGATGAGCATCAATATGACCAGTTTTTCACTATCAGTATAGTTTTCAACAAATTTCATGAGATACTCAATATTTTAAAATGGGCCTTGTGGTAGATGATTTTGCCCAATTGTAGGATAATGTAAGTGTTCTGAGCAAGTTTAAGGTAGGTGAGGCTAAGTCATGATATTCAGTAGGTTAAATATATTAAATGCGTTTTAGACTTACAATATTTTCAATTTAGGATGAGTTCATTCAGACATAAGACAATTGTAAGTTGAGGAGTATCTATAATATCAATCTTGAACGGAATCTTTTTAAGAAATAGAATTTAAGGGATGGACACAGTGGCTCACACCTGTAATCCCAGCACTTTGGGAGGCCAAGACGGGCAGATCACCTGGGGTCAGGAGTTTGAGACCAACCTGACCAGCATGGAGAAACCCCCATCTCTACTAAAAGTACATAATTAGCAGGGCATGGTGGCGCTTACCTGTAATCCCAGCTCCTCGGGAGACAGAGGCAGGAGAATAGCTTGAATCTGGGAGGCAGAGATTGTGGAGAGCCGAAATTGTGCCATTGCACTCCAGCCTGGGCAACAAGAGTGAATCTCCGTCTCAAAAAAAAAAAAAAAAAAGAAAGAAAATTTAAAGGGACATTTCCTATCTTATTTTATGAACCCAGTATTGCCGATTCCAAATCGAGACAAAGGCATTATACAACTTTGATGTTTATCCCTCATAAACATAGACTCAAAAGTCCTTAAAACATAATAACCAATTGAATGTAGCAGTACATAGAATGGATAATAAACTGTGAACAAATTAAATTTCTAGCAAGATTGCAAAGTTAATTTATTATTTGAAAGATCAGTTTAATCAATTTTATTCACCTGGATGGTTACATCTGGCAAAACTCAGCAAACTGTGCACTTTAAAATAGTATTTATTTTATGTAAATTATGTTTCAATACAATTGATTTTTTAAGAAAAAAAACGTTTCCCAGAGTGATCAAAGTGGAGGGCAGGGAATAGTAAACATCAGTGCTTATGT
This sequence comes from Homo sapiens, assembly GCF_000001405.40. Lineage (NCBI taxonomy): Eukaryota > Metazoa > Chordata > Mammalia > Primates > Hominidae > Homo > Homo sapiens. Next base: position 49,541,238 of record NC_000004.12, read on the forward strand.
TATAGCTACTAGAAGCCTCCCAATTCCAACGACATGCTTTCAAGCAGGTCTGATCCTTCCCCTGGAGGATACCTCTGACCCAGGTGTGCTACAAATGCATTGCCCCTAGTTGCTTCTGTCACCTTAGTGATGGAAGTGACAAGAGGGTACTGGAGAAAGAAAAGGTGTACAAGGTTCCAAATGTACATTCTATTTCCAAAGGACATTTGTGAAGCCAGTGGAAAGCGAACAAACAAGCTGCTAAATAAGTCACAAGTGTGTTCTCGTACAGTTTTGCGATTAACTAAATAGGACATTCAACAGATAAAATTTGTTTTACATAGTTACTCCTCTAACAGGATGAACTTGTGGATTGTGAGATAGGGCTGATATAACCTGTTTTCTCTCTGCCTCTTTTTTTTTCCCCCAAGTTTTGTGTGCAATACATTAGGAAAAATATAATTGGGCTACAAAGCTACAAAGATGGCTTCCTGGCAGTTCCATGCTTGTTTCCATGTGGTGCCTATGTTTGGCACTGTGTTCTCATTTGCACTTTCCTACTTGATTAGTTAATGTATGAAGGACAAGCCTGATCTCTACTGTGAATTTTTACCAAGGTATTCTAGTAGAAAAATGAGTATGTAATGGTGCTGTGGAATGCTAAAGTGTGTAAAACATTAAGAATCTAAAAATATGCTCATTTCCAAGTTTTGTCCCAGAGCAACTGTGCACTCTGATTATATCGCTACTGCTATTTAAAGTTATCCATTTGCATGTCTAAAAAATAGATTCATACTGATTGTCCCATTTTGATCTCAAAAAACTCCTGAATATGAGAGTCGTGATCAAGGGAAGCTTCATGAAATGTTCCAAAGTTAAAGTGTGCAATGAAACCAGATTTATCATAGCCTTATTTAAAATAATTATTTCTAAAATTGTTATTGTTTAATTATAAACGGTATCCTTTCAGGATACTTGGAAGATCCATAGCAGTGTTTTTATTTTCACAGAACAAGCATAAATTATTTATGAAATAATAACTCAGATACAGAGATTACTTCCTATTGGCCTTACATATGAATATAAATAAATACATATTATGAACATGAGCATACTTATTTTATAATTATGTAAATGTGTGTGTAATGTTATATATAAGTTCAATAAAGTCATGCTTATACATGGTTTCAATTCATGCTTCTAAAAACCACTCAATGTAGTCATTATCATATGTTAATAAATAATCTCTGAAAATATGCTTCTAGTAGTTGCACAATATCCCATCATAAAGATTGTCATGCTGTTTTTAAGTCATACTTTTGGGTATATAAGTTATATCTGATATTTTTCTGCTACATATATACTATTATAAATCTATTAGTAGCTGATTTTTTGTCAACACATATGATTGTTTCCTCACAATAGTACAAGAGTTGGTTGTAACTTTATTTCCTTCCAACATTTATTTTAGGTTCAGCGGGTACATGTGCAGGTTTATTATATGGGTAAAATGTGTGTCAATGGGATTTGGTGTACAGATTACGTAGTCATCCAGGTAGTGAACGTAGTATCTAATAGGGAGTTTTTTGATCCTCACTCTCCCCCCACCCTCCACCCACAGTAGACCTTGTGTCTATTGTTCCCTTCTCTGTGTCCATGTGGACTCAATGTTTAGCCCCCACTTATAAGTGAGAACATGCAGTGTTTGTTTGGTTTTCTGTTCCTGCATTAATTCACTTAGAATAATGGTATCCAGCTCCATTCATGTTGCTGCAAAAGACATTATTTCATCCTATTTTATAGGTGTGTAGTATTCCATGGTGTATGTACGCTGCATTTTTTTAATCCAGTCTTCTGTTAACAGGCATCTAAGTTGATTCCGTGTCTTTGCTATTGTGAATAGTGTTATAATGAAAATATGCGTGCATATGTCTATGACAGAATGATATATATTCATTTGGGTATATACCCAATAATGGGATTGCTGGGTTGAATGGTAGTTCTGTTTTAAGTTATTTCAGAAATCTCCAAACTGCTTTCCACAATGGCTGAACAAATTTACATTCCTGATGAAACTGGAGACTTCCCTGACTCCCCTTGGCAGGATGTGCAACAGGGGTGTGGCTTGTCTGGCCACCGTGTGTGCTGTCAAACCCCTTACTGGGCAGGGAAGCATGCAGACAGGCAGGTGCAATAGGCAGGGCAAGTGGCCATGGTACTGTCTAGGGGTGGGTTCATGCGACTCCCACAGCCCAAGTGGGCATGTGTTACAGTGCACTCTTTTAGCTTTGCCATCCACAGACGGCTTAAGTGTTAACCTGTTCAGTGCCCTCTTGGTACCCAGTTCCTTGTCCAGCATCCAGAAAGAATTAAGTTGCACACAGACTTGAGGATGGTGAATGTGGGGGTTTTATTGAGTGGTGGAGGTGGCACTCAATGGGATGGATGGGAAGCTGGAAAGGGGATGGAATGGGAAGATGATCTTCCCCGGGAGCTTTGCCATCCAGAGGCTGATCTCTCCAACCACTGCCAGCCAGACTCCTCTTGGCATTCAGATGCTCCTTCTCTTCTTTCTGCCACATCATTCTGCAATTCTGCTCTTCTGTCCATCTCCTCATCTGCTTGTCTGTTTCTGGAGCCTGGGGTCTGGGGCATATATGGGTACAGGACAGGGGGTGCATGGTGAGCTGAAAGACAACTTTTGGGTGCAAAAGCAGGAATGCCTGTTCCCATTTAGGGCCATGGGTTTCCAGGCTTGTGGGCAGGGCTTTGCCAGGGAACCACTCTCTTCTACCCAGTATTTCCCTGTCTCCTTTCTATATCACCAGCAGCAGTGTATAAGCATTCCCTTTTTTCCACAAACTCGGCACCGTCTGTTATGTTTTGATTTTTTAATTGTAGCCATTCTGACCGGTGTGATATGGTATCTCATGGTTCTGATTTTCTGATGATTAGTGATGTTGAGTATTTTTTCACATGGTTGTTTGCCATACATACGTTGTCTTTTGAAAAAAGAATCCACAGACGGCTTAAGTGTTAACCCGTTCAGTGCTCTCTTGGTACCCAAGTCCTTGTCCAGCATCCAGAAAGAAGTTGCACATGGACTTGAGGATGGTGAATGTGGGGGTTCATGTTCTTTGCCTATTTGTAGTGGGTTTGTTTTTTGCTTATTGATTCTTTATACATGCTAAGTATTAGACCTTTTTCAGATATGTAATTTGAAAATATTTTCTTCTGTTCTGTAGGGTGTTCTCTGTTGATAGTTTCTTTTGCTGTGCTGAAGCTCTTTAGTTTCATTAGGTCCCACTCGTCAATTCTTCTTGTTGCAATTGCTTTTGGAATCTTCATCATGAAATATTTGCCTGCGCCTATGTCCAGAATGATATTTCCTAAGTTTTCTTCTAGGGTTTATATAGTTTTGGGTCTTACATAAGTCCTTCATCCATCTTGAGTTGATTTTTGTATATGGTGAAAGGAAGGGAGTGTACATGCCCCTGTGATATTGTTCCTAATATCCAGGTTGGGAGAGGATATTATACTCAATATTGCAGGAAGTGTCGACCACCCTGAATGTTGCTTTTAATATCTGGGGAGAGAGGGTGATATTACTCCCAATATCATCCTCTCCCCCCACACCCTGCATAGTACAAGCAATATCAAAGGGGGTCTGTGCAACACGTGCAATATTGGGAGTAATATCCTCCCCCAACATGGATATTAGAAACAGTATCACAAGGGGTTGTACACCACCTGTGATATTGGGGAGTACTATCATTTTCTTTCCCCATGGATATGTAGAACAATATCACAAAGGTGGTGTACAACCCCTGCTATATTGGGAGTAATACTGTACTTTCCCCACCTAGATATTAGGAACAATATCGCGGGGGTTTATACACCACTGCAACATTGGGAGTAATATCATCCTTTCCCTCCCTGGATATTAGGAACAATACCTCTTGGGTGTGTATACCCTGTTCCATATTGGGATTAATATTTTCTCCCTTGCTGGACATAAGGAACAATATAACAGGGGCTATACACTCCTTATGATATTGCCAGTAATATTATAGACTCCCCCCAGGGATATTAGAAAGAGTGTCAGAGAGGGGTGTACATCCCCTGCGATATTGGGAATAATATTCTTTCTTTCCCTGGATATTAGGAATAATATCACAAAGGGGTTGTATACCCCCCGTGACATTTTAATTAATATCATCTTCCCCACTGAATATTAGGAACAAATTCCCAGGGGGTTGTACACCACCTGCAATATGGACAGCTATATCATTGTCTCTCCCCCGAATATAAGGAACAATATCACAAGGGGGTTGTACAACCCCTGTGATATTGGGAGTAACTTTATACCCTTTCCACATGGATATTAGGAACAATATCACAGGGTGGTTGTACACCCACTGCGATATTGGGAGTAATATCATCCTCTACCCCCTGGGTATTATGAACAATATCATGGGGAAGGGGTGTATGCCCTCTGTGATATTGGGAGTAATATCATCCTGTCCCCTCTGGATATTAGGAATGATATCACAGCAGGGCTGTACCTTTTCTGCACTATTGGGAGTGGTATCACCCTCTCCCCCTATGGATATTAGGAACAATATCACAAAGGGGGTGTACACATCCTGCGATATTGAGAGTAATATTGTCCACTCTTCCCCGGAATATTAGGAACAATATCACAGGCGGAGTGTACACCCCCTGCTATTTTACCTGTAATATTATTCTCTCCCAATCTGGATATTAGGAATAATATAACAGGTGGGGTGTACACCACCTGTGATATTGGGAGTAATATCATTCTCTCCCCCCATGGATATTGAGAACAATATCACAGGGGCGGTTTACACCTCCTGCGACATTTAGAGTAATATCATCCTTTTCCCCCATGGATATTAGGAACGATATCGCATGGGAAGTGTACACCCCCGCCATATTGGGAGTAATATTTTCTCCCTTGCTGGACATTAGGAACAATATCACGGGAATGCACACACCCTGCGATATTGCCAGTAATATCGTAGTCTCCTCCCAGGATATTAGGAACAATATCACAAGGGGGGTGTATATGCCCTGTGATATTGGAAGTAATATCATCGACTCCCCCCACGGATATTAGTAACAATATCAGAAGGGGTGTACACCCCTTGCGATATTTATAGTACTATCATCCTATACCCCCTGGATATTAGGAACAATACCACGGGGGGTGTATACCCACTGTGATATTGGGAGTAATTTCATCCTCTACCCCTTGGATGTTAGGAGCAGTATCACAAGGGGGGTGTGCACCCTCTGTGATATTAAAAATAATACCATTCTCTCCTTCTCTGGATACTAGGAATAATATCACAGTGCTGGTGTGCACCCTTTACACTATTTGGAGCAATATCACCCTCTCCCCAACTTGATATTAGAGACAATATCATGGGGGGTGGCGTGTAACACCCTGCACTGTTGGGAGTACTATCATCTAGTCTTCCCCTGGATATAAGAAACAGTATCACAGAAGAGGTCTACACCTCCTGAGATTTTGGGAGTAATATCATCCTCTCCAAATCTGGATATTAAGAACAGTATAATGGGGTGTGGGGAGTAATATGGTGGGAGTAATACAATCCTCCTCCCCACTTGCTATTAGGAACAATATCGCAAAACGTGTGTACACCCACTGTGACATTTGGAGTAATATCAACATTTCCCCACCTGGTATCACGGGGAGAGTGTACACTCCTTACGATATTGGAAGTATCATTGTCTCTCACTCTCGATATTAGGAAAAATAGCACAGGGTGTGTATACACTTCCTGTGATTTTGGGAAGAACATCATACCCTTCTGTCTTTGATATTAGGAACAATATCACAGAGGGGGTGTACAACTTCTGTGATATTATAATATTCTTTCTTCCCATGGATATTAGGAATGATATCCCGGGGGGCTTGTTGTACACCCCCTGTGATACGGACAGTAATATCATTGTCCTTCTCCCTACATATTAGAAACAATATCACAAGGGTGGTATACACCCCCTGGATATTAGAAACTATCACAGGGGGGCTGTACAACCTCTCTGATACTGTGAGTAATACCATTGTCTCCCCTCCTGGGTATTAATAACAATATCATAGGGTGGGTGTACAACCCCTGCAATATTGGGAATAATATCATCCTCTCTTCCCCGGGATATTAGGAACGGTATCACAGGTGGGGTTTACACCCCCCTGCAATTTTGTCAGTAATATTACTTCTGGATGTTATTGAATATATCACAGTGGGGGTGTACACCCCCTGTGATATGGGGAGTAATAGCATCCTCTTTCCCACTGGATACTACAAACAATATCGCAGATTGTGTACAACCTCCTGTGATATAGTTCACAATATTTAGGGAAGGAGAGGATGATATTACTCCACATATCGCAGGGAGTGTTACATCCCCTGTAATATTGTTCATAATATTTAGAAGACGACAGGATGATATTACTCCCAATATAGTAGGAAGTATACACTCCCCTGTGATACTGTTCATAATTTTTAGGGGATTAGAGGATGATATTACTTCCAATATCACAGGGAGTGTACACTGGTGATATTGTTTATAATTTTCAGTGGATTAGAAGATATTATCCCGAATATCACAGGGGTTGTACACCCCAAGTGATATTGTTAATATCCAGTGGGAAAGAGGATGATATTACTCCCCATATCACAGGGGATGTAAACCCGTTTGTGGTATTATCACTTACATCCAGGGGGGAGAGGATGATATTACTCTGCATATCATAGAGGGTGCACACGGCTGTAATGTTGTCCATAATAACATCCAGAGGGGAAGAGAATATTATTCCCATGTTTCAGAAGGTGTACACACCCCTGTGATAGTCTCTGTAACATTTAGGGAAGAAGGGGGATGATACTACTCCAGATATTGCAGGGGGTGTACACCCCCCTGTGATACTGTTCGTAACGTTTAGGGGGAAGAGGATGATATTACTCCCCATATCGAAGGGATTGTATATCTCCCTATATATTGTCCATAACATCCAGGGCAGGAGAGTATATTACTACTCCCCATATCACAGGGGGTGGACACCCCCCTCTAAATATGTCTAACATCCAGGCGGGGACAGGAGGATATTTTTCCCCATAACCCAGAGAAAGTAAACCTCCTGTGATATTGTCCATAACATCCAGTGGGGAGAGGATGATATCACTCCCCATATTGCAGGGGGTGCACACTCCACTCTGATATTGGCCATAATATCCGGCGGGGGGGTGAAGTGTGAAGTTGCTACACATATCGCAGGGATTATTAGTATCAGATTGTTTGAAGGGCTCACAGTAAGGGTAGTAGTAGGGCGAGTTCTAACTCAAATAGGGGAAATGTGATGGCTACTAGAAAGAATTTTATGGAGAAGGGAAAGTGGGCAGAGGATAGAGGGTCAAATCTGCATTCATAAGGGCTAGATTTTTCTATATATATTTATTTTATACATATATATATATTTTTCTCTCTCTCTACATATATATATATTAAGTTGTGGGAGCCAAAATGTAATAATTATTAGTAACAGGGCTAATAGGGTGTTGATTACTAGGGTTAATGTTAGGTGAATTACTGTTTTTCGGATGCTATCAAAACTTTGGAAATCATGGTACTATTTATACTAAAAGAGTAAGATCCTCATCAATAAATAGAAACATACAAGAATAGTCATACTACATCTACAAAGTGTCGATATCAGGCAGCGGCTTCAAAGGCAAAGTGATGACTAGATGTAAAGTGGTATTTTAATTGGCGGAGAAGGCAGACTGAGGAATGTTGATCCAATAATGACGTGAATTCTGTGAAAGCCTGTAGCTATAAAAAAATGTTGAGCCATAAATACCATCAGAAATAACAAAGGGAGCTTTGAAGTATTCTGAGACTTGTAGGAAGGTGAAGTAAATACCTAATATAATTGTAACAAGTAGTGCTTGGATTGTATGTTTTTGATTATTTTTTGTTAGGCTGTGATGGGCTCAAGTAGTTGAAACTCCTGATGCAAGTAATACAGATGGATTCAGAAGAGGTACTTCCAGGGGGTCAAGGGGAGAAATACCTGTTGGGGGTCAATGCCCTCCTAATTCTGGAGTAGGGGCTAGGCTAGAATGGTAGAATGCTCAAAAGAATCCAGCGAAGAGGAATATTTCTGAGCCACCATGCCCGGGTAATTTAAAAAAATTTTTTTTCTAGAGATGGGGGTCTCACTATGTTGCTCTGGCTGATCTCAAATTCCTGACCTCAAGTGATCTTTCTGCCACAGCTTTTTAAAGTGATGGGATTACCGTCATGAGCCACCATGCCTAGTATAGAGTGTAATATTAATTTCAAAGTCTTATTCCTAGAGCCATGTATTGACTTTGGCCTAAATAACTCAATATGATATCTCTGAAACTTTTTTTTACATATTGTGGGGAATGATAATGAGGGAAGGGGATTAGACATTTTTACTAGGAGATAACTTTGTGCCATTTAAGGAGGAACAAAAATAAATTATCAGAAAAATAAAAGTAAGATGAAGTACAAAAGTTCTGTGGCAAAGATGATGATAAGAATATATTTTTATGACTCATGGTAGCTTTAACATTGTTCTTAAAATTCTGAGTAATTTAAGGGTTCACATTTGAAGAATCTGATGCATTACTGATAACATTTGATTGCAAGTAAATGCATTTTAAAATTTGCTATTGGTTTTGTATTAGATTATTCTCAGCCTACTTCATTATCAAGCTATACTATTTTATTTATGCGGTTTGATGATCTTATGGCAGAGGAGGAAGCTGTATCTTCAAAATGTGTCAATTTGGCTAAAGACAATCAAGTTATCCAACAGGAGTTATTATCTATGAAAAAGGTACAACAAGAATGTGAAAAACTTGAGGAGAATCAAAAGATGTTGGAAGAAGAAATATTAAATCTCAAGACACATATGGAAAACAGTATCGTAGAACTTAGTGAACTACAAGATTATAAATCAGAGCTAGATGAAAGGGCAATGCAGGCAGTAGAAAAATTAAAAGAAATCAATTTACATGTTACTTGTTTAAATCAGGTAAGTTTACCTGTAATGTGCTTTCATTTATTTCACTGCAAATTATATTTTGGAGATTTTATATATATATATATATATATATATATATATATATATATATATATATATATAGTGTTTCCTCTGCCTCTCTTGTAGCAATCTGCTTTGTAGAGTTGTAGAAAAAAATGGCATCTGTTTTTTCTTTTAAATATTTAAATTTCCATTATTATTATGAGAAAATCAATCTTTCAGAGTAATGATTCTCATTATGGAGTCATTTGATGATTAAGACCAGTTGGCATAGGAAAAAATTGTGATTTATAAATTATGTGATACTTTTGAATTGGTGTTAAGCTACATTGTTCATTGATCACTTTTTCAAATTATGAATGGATTCTATTACTTTTTATATGACCAGATTACATTAATACTAACATAATTATGATTTCAAATTTTTATAAATCAGTCTTAATTCTGAATTCAGTTATTAGTTTTGATATTGCTGAAGTATTTTAAGCTTCAGCCTCTTTTTTAACATATTCAGAAATGTTCTTTGAATCACTGACTCAAAATGAAAGGCAACAAACATATAATAATTATGTTATTGTTTTAAAAGTGTATTATTTTCCTTTGTTTTAGTTACAAGCACAATATAAAAAACAATTAGAGCAGTTAAACAAGGATAATACGGCTTCACTAAATAAGAAGGAACTCACACTTAAAGATGTAGAATGTAAATTCTACAAAATGTAAACTGCTTATGAAGAGGTTACAACTGAGTTAGAAGAATATAAGGAAGCCTTTGCAGCAGCATTGAAAGCTAACAATTCCATGTCAAAAAAATTAACGAAGTAAGTCAAAACATACACTCAGAGAATGAATTAAGCTCATTAATTTGTTTCAAAAGCATAATTTTTAGTGAGATGGCTTCAGGATATTAGTAGGAAGTGAATGTTAATTTGACAATGTAATTTTGAAAAACAATGTTAGTAAATAATCTTACCTTTTAATGTTAGTCAAAGATAGTTTTTGTCTCTCCTCTCATTTTTTTTTTGTTTGTTTTTGTATGGCTTTTTCCCCTGAAAAGTCTCATGTAATTAAACTGATCTGTTAGTTTTTTTCACTATGTATTTTTGAAGCTTTATAATTAATGAAGTGATCCTGTTATAAAATTACTTGTCAGAATTTCCCTAAATAGAAATATTAATGAGTTTAATTTCTTTTTCAGTGGATCACAACCTAAATGAAAAGTGGTACTGCTACTTTGGCCACAATCGTTTTTGATTGTGATCTTTAGTATTATCATCAGAGGGTGCATCAAGAAAGACTATTTGTGTAACATATTCAAGATGTTACAGAAAGGCATCCTTGTGAAATAAGGAATAATTATCACAGGATTTTAAAGAAGTGTAATTCACAAAGTGGTTAAAAAATAACACCTTGTTCAGCCTGAAGGAGTGTGTGGAAGGCAGAAAGAACATGTCCCACCTCCTGGGCCTTGGTCACAGTGTTGGGGGCTAATTGCCTTCAGAGATGCTTTAGTTCTTTTTGATCACCAACCAGACAATCTAGTTCTCCCCTAGGAGTTGTTGCTCTGAATTATTCTTCAGTGCCAAATGTTTAATTGGTTCTAGATAATGGGTGAAATGTACAAGGGTGAAATCTAAAACTGGTTTACTAAACACAAGTACTCCTAGATTATTTTTATTCATTTTAGTTTTCTTAACCTACATTAAGGAGTACAACATGATGTTTTGATATAATTATTTCTAGTGAAGTGGTTCTTATAATCAAGCAAATCAACATATTCATTTTCCCACATTATTGCCCTTTAAATACAAGTATTTCTAATGGAATCTTCAGAATCTTACAAGTAGAGCCATTTTAGAAGGCAGCAAATTTTGCCTGTTGAGCCATACACCACTGATAGGAATTTCTCTTCCCTGTCTACTTTGTTTGAACTGCTTGTTCAGTGTAAATCACCTTAGAAACAAAGGTGCTTCTTTAGAATGATTTTAAAATTATAATTCCTTACAACAGGTATGCTCTTACACATCTTCGGTGTGAAAACACTATTTAGTGGGTAATTTGGTTTACTCTCAGGACAACACTTTAAATGTAATGACTGCAAGTCATTAAGATTCATTTAAGGAAATATGAAATACTAAGCATTTGTCTTTGTTATCTTTAAAAATCGAATAAGAAAATAGCAATGATCATCACCAAGCTCCTTAGGGAGAAAGAGCAGGTGAAATATTTTCTCAGCACTCTTCCTACAAGGCAAGGTCGAGAGTCACCTTGTGTTGAAAATCTTACTAGTATAGGACTCAACAGAAAATATATTCCCCAAATGCCCATAAGAATTCCTACTTCAAACCGTCAGACTTCAAATAACTGCCAGAACTACTTGACTGAGGTTAGTTATATGACCGTTTCTCTTTAGGGTTTCATTTCTCTAGCGTAATTCTTGTTTATAATTTGGTGAAATACTGAGTTGTTCTGTTGACTTTTGCATGTGAAGTAAAGATCATAATTAGCTGTGTTAACACAGAAAGGAAATGGGAATTTTACATTTTTTAATTCCCTGGAGCCCTCATTTTCAAGAGATATCCATTTGCTAACTTTATTCAATAAATGTGACTAAACTGACACATTTAAAATGTCTTTAAAAGCTGCATTTAAGTTAGGTTTTAGAAATTACATGTTATTGCCTGATAACTGATGATATACTTTGAGATGCTTTGGCTTACTCTCTAATTCATTGTAGTTTAGCTGTGGTTCATACCACTTTTTTTTTCTTTTTTTTGAGGCAGTGTCTCACTCTGTCGCCCAGGCTGGGGTGTCTTGGTGCCATCTCCACTCACTGCAACCTCCACCTCCCGGGTTCAAGTGATTCTCCTGCCTCAGCCTCCTGAGTAGCTGAGACTACAAGCACCCACCATTACACCCAGCTAATGTTTGTATTTTTAGTAGAGACAGGGTTTCACCATATTGACCAGGCTCTTCTTGAACTCCTGACCTTGTGATCTGCCTGCCTCAGCCTCTCAAAGTGTTGGTATTACAGGCATGAGCCACCGCACCCGGCCCATGTCACTTTTAAAGTTTCTTTGCACTGGCCAGGTGCTGTGGCTCATGCCTGTAATCCCAGCACTTTGGGAGGCTGAGGCAGATGTATCACGAGGTCAGGAGTTCAAGATCAGCCTGGCCAAGATGGTGAAACCCCATCTCTACTAAAAGTACAAAAAAATATATTAGCCTGGTGTGGTGGTGGGCACCTGTAATCCCAGCTACTAGGAAGGCTGAGGCAGAGAATTGCTTGAACCTGGGAGATGGAGGTTGCAGGAGCTGAGATTGCACCACTGCACTCCAGCCTGGGTGACAGGGCAAGATTCCGTCCTGAAAATAAAAAATTTTAAAAAAAGTTTATTTGCACCATCTCAATTCTTCCCACCCATAATCACAACTGAATGATTGGCATCCAAACACTTTACCACATATGGATGTTTATTATTTAGTAGAATCCAAAATAATTGCATTTTATTAATTAAACAAAACACTAAAATGTTCAGTTCCATTTTTATGTTAAAAGCTTTGTGCTTGGCCAGGCACGGTGGCTCACACTTGTAATCCCAAAATTTGGGGAGGCCGAGGTAGGTGAATCACTTGAGGTCAGGAGTTTGAGAACAGCCTGGCCAACATGATGAAACCTGTCTCCAGTAAACATACAAAAGTTAGCAAGGGGTGTTGGCAGGCATGTGTAATCTCAGATACTCAGGAGGCTGAGGCAGGAGAATCACTTGAACCCAGGAGACAGAGGTTGCAGTAAGCCAAGATCATACCACTGCACTATAGCCTGGGTGATGGAGACTCCATCTCAAAAAAAATAAAAATAAAAAAAATAAAAATGTTTGTGCTTTTCTTACATAAGAGTACATCTTCTGACTATAAAAATCCTGGAAGAAAACCTAGGAAATTCTCCTCTAGACATCATATTTGTCAATTAATTTATGGCTAAGTCCTCAAAAGCAATTGCAAGAATAACAAAAATTGACAAGTGTGATCTAATTTAGCTAAATAACTTCTGCACAGCATGATAAACTATCACAGGATTAAACAGACAGACTAAAGAATGGAAGAAAATATTCACAAACTATGGATATAGCAAACGCCTATTATCCTATTATCCAGAATCCATAAGAGACCTAAACAAATCAACAAGCAAAAAATAAATAACACCATGAAAAATGGGCAAAGGACATGAACAGATAGTTCTCAAAATAACACTTGTAGTGTCCAAGAAACATTAACAAATGCTTGCCGTTGCTAATTATCATAAAAATGACAAACAAAACATCAGTGAGATACCATTTCACACCAGTCAGAATGACTTTTGTTAAAAAAAATAATAAATAAAAAAATTAAAAAAGATGTTGGGGAGGCTGTGGAGAAAAATGAACACACACTGTTTGTGGCAAAGTTAATTAATTCAGCTATTCTGGAGAGTTTGGAAATTAAGAAGTAAGAAAGACTGTTGGATACAGCAACCCCATTACTACACTAGGGGTATACCAGAAGGATAATAAATCATTGTAACAAAAAGATGCATACACATGTATGTTCACTGCAGCACTATTCACAATAACAAAGACATGGAGTCAATCCAGGTGCATCCAAGGTACGTTGAAAATCCAAGGTAGATTGGAAAATTCCATATATACCATGGAATACTATGCAGCCATAAAAAGAACAAAATCACATCGTTTGCAGCAACAAGGATACAGCTGGAATCCACTCTCCTAAGCAAACCAACACAGAAACAGAAACCAAATATCTCATGTTTTCACTCACGTGGGAGCTACACATTGGGTGCACATTGTCATAAACACGGGAATAATAGACACTGGAAAATAAGAACGGGGAGGGACAGAGTGGGCCAGGGTTGAAAAACTACTTCTTGGGTCCTATGCTCACTACCTGTGTGATGAGTTCTATTGTGCTGCAAACCTCGGCATCCCTAAATATGCCTTTGAAAGAAACCTACAGAGGTACCACGTTAATTTAGAATACAAACTAGAAAAAAAAAGAAAAGTTTACTATAAGTAGAGAACAGAAATTTCTTTTTCAGATAAAATTTATTGAAGTAAAAAATGGGTTAAACTTTTATAAAGGGCAGAGTTTTCTAAGAATTTCAAAGCAATCCATTCATTGCAAAAGATGGCTTTAATTACTTATTTTTTTTTTTTTTGAGACAGGGTCTCACTCTGTCACCAGGCTGGAGTGCAGTGGTGCAGTCTTGGCTCACTGCAACCTCCACCTCCTGGCTTCAAGCAATTCTCCTGCCTTAGTATCCCAAGTAGCTGGGACTACAGGTGCGCATCACCACGCCCAGCTAATTTTTGTATTTTTAGTAGAGATGGGGTTTCCCCATGTTGGCCAGGATGGTCACGATCTCCTGACTTGTGATCTGCCTGCTTTGGCCTCCCCAAGTGCTGGGATTACAGGTATGAGCCACCATGCCTGGCCATTGTTTAACCTTTGTACTAATAAAACACTACCTTTCTAAAATCATGTATATGCAATAGATCAATATTAACTGCATTTTTGTCAGATTACTCTAAACAGCATTACACATATACATCCTCTGTTATCTAATCTTAAAATAAGTAGAAATTTTATTTTATTTATGTGATTATTTTTCTATTTAAGCAAACTTCAAGTTATGTCTAGTCACTAAAAATACTAAAGGTCACATTTTGTAAGTGATGTCTTATTTTTATGATAATGTTTCTTGTTTAAATTAAACATTATTTTTTTTTTTACTTATTTTAGATGGAGCCGGACTGTATAGAACAAATAATTAGAGAAACAAAGAGAAGTACCTTGCCAAAATTTATTAATTAAATTTAGGTTTATTTTAGAAATAAAGTGTAAAAAGCAAATGGCATTCCTTTTCATTCTTGGGTTAGTAGATACTACATCAATATTTTTTTTCTTACACACATCTAATGAAAGATGTGAAAACAGAAACTTTCACAGAGAAGACTGTACTTATACACCATAAATTCATCATGTTCCAAAGCTTAAACAGTTCCCAAGAAGTCTGTGCATCTCTTTTTCACTGACTCTACACTTTCTTAAGTTTTGCCATCCTCATGGAACTGTCAGCCAGCACACTGAAACGATTCTCAGAAAACAAAAGCATCATCAAGTTCTCAGGGTTTCGGTAGAGATTGAAGGCCAACAGACATAAGACTCATTCAGAAATACTTAGCTGAGCAATAACCCTTCATAAGCAGTCACTTGACAGGTGACATTTTAAATCTCCTGTCAATTACTGTGTCATTGGCTTACACTTGTTCTCAGGAAAAGTTCCAAATTTTTCACCATGAAATAAAAACACCCATATCAAAGTAATTCTCGTCAAGTTACTCAGCCTTGTCTCTCGCCACTTACTGCACTCTGCCCTTTGCTCTAGCACCAAACTGGATGGAGTGGAACTCTGCAGGGCTCTTCCTCACCTCTGGCTCTTTGCCTTCCCCTCTTCCCTCTATCTGGGAAGCTTTTTCTTGTCCTTCAGGTATCAACCTATGTTATCTCCTCCACCAGAAAGCCCATGATATTGACATAAAAGTGGGTAGATGTCCCTTCTATGTGTTCCTGTAGTGCCCTGCTGTATACCTGTCATGGTATCTTTGACTCTATATGGACATTGCCTGCCTGTCTGTTTTTTTAGGTTATAGCATATGACTGTTGGGAGGTGGACCATGCCATCTTCATCTTGTAATTCCAGTGCTGGTTCTAGTACCTTAGCATGTGGCTGTTGATTACATGAATGAAGAATGAAAAACTCTGATATTTAAACACAATTAGAATTAATGCCATGTGTAAATTATTAAATAGTAATTTTGTATTGTAAATGCACATACATATGTCTCATTCTTATTAACTCTGATAAAGTTATCAACTCTTTAGTTTTTAAACGCACACTTAGTCAACTGAAGTGTTTTAGGTAAAGAACATAATTCTTTATTTTTCTTTCCAGCTGCTGCTGTGTTGGACACTTGCTCCCATCTACTTTCTTCTCTAGAATCCACGGGTAAGCCACATCTAACGAAGAGAATATTTAACCATAACGTCTTAAAGAAAAATTGTATGATTTAAAAGATTATAAAACTTTATTACTGGGCTATTTACACATTTTAGTTGTTTCTCATAAAATGTATAACATTACAATATTTACTGAAGTAGGATATTTTTGTATGATATATATGATGATAATTTATAGGGTATTTTAAATGATGTTTTTTAGCCTCCTTAAGTTTTAAGTGGATCTTGCAAATGAAAACCAGTATTATTGAGTTTGACATACTCAAATTGCCCAAATGTCAGCTGTTTAAACAACCAAGTCATCATTGATACTTTAGTAAAAGTTAGTAAAGGTCATCGAAGGCTTATTTGCATTTTATAGTTTTTATTACTTAGGAGACTTAAGGAGTACCTGCCAGGTTTGTCCATGCTAATGTTATGATTTTCTTTTTGTAGTTCAACCGTATTTTGTATGGAGATACTTTGAGGCTCTGTAAATATCTTGTTACTCCTCAGAACCCACTAGATTTAGCATTTCATGGATGACTTGTGTTTGAACAATTATTACTTTGATGGTTGCCAGATGATTATTTTCTTATTGTCTTCTTTGTTCTACATGGAGAAATAAAACCAATAAATAAGGGAGAAGGAAAGCTCTTGATTCTGATGCTTCAGTTCCCCAAGATTAGGCCAGTAGTAGACATTCCAAGCTGACTTTATGTCTCTTTGATTTGTCTCCATTACTCTGCCAGCACTTTTTTAATTTCTGGCAGAAGATTTTCTAAGCTCATCTTGTATTTTCTCTGCCCCAGCTTTGGAATGAGTAATTTTTTTTAGAAGCAGAGGTGGAGCCAATGAGGAAGCACAGGTGAGCCCTCCCCAGTGTGTACTCACTGGTCCCCAACAGAAGAACTGCTGCCACATCCACTGAGGTACCAGGAAACTAGCAAAGGGCCTTCTGGCTGTCTGGAGAGAGTCCTCATGTGGTCCCTGGCTGAGCCTCAGAGGTTCTGGATTAGTCTTCCTGTAGCCTCTGTGTTGTGTCTTTAGATCGGGGCTATATGGGAAGGGCCCTGGGAGACCCAACAGCACAGTGTGTCTCATCTGCCAAATGTCCCTCCCTTCCTCACACTCTGACGCTCAGGAATAGGGTAGATGGTGTGTCCAGGCAGTGTCAGGCCACCTCACTTTCTCCTTTGAGACGGGCCCAGAGGGCCTTTGGGGTGAGTGTGGAGCTGGGAACCTGGAGCCTGAGGCCAACTGTCTCTCCCTGTGTCTTGGAGGAAAGGCCATGTCCCAAAAAAAACCCCAGGGCCTGACCTCTGGGCACACATGCAGGGAGGGAGGGTCTATGAGCTGAGGGGGACATTGTAATGAGACTTTGAACCCCTTTGCTCTGGGGCCTGGTCAGTGGACCATGGTCAGAGATGACCTGGTCATCAGGACCTAGTCATGTGGGACCTGATCAGCAGGGGCCTGGTTAGTGGTGGCCTCCTCAGTAAAGGCCTCATCAGTGGGGACCTGGTGACCTAATCATTGGAAGCCTGGTCAGTGGGGGGACCTAGTCAGTGGTGGCCTTATTAGTGGGGCCTGATCAGTTGGAACATAAACAATGAAAAACTGGTTGGTGAGGCATATACAGTATACCAGAGGCCTGGTCAGTGTGGGGCCTTAGTGGCTTGGAGCCTGGTCAATGAGGGCCTGGTCAGAGGGGGCTCGGTCAGCTAGGGACTCATCCATGGAGAATTGTTCAGTGGGGGGTCGGGTCAGCAGCAACCTGGTAAATTGTGGTCTTGTCAGTGGGAACCCGGTCTTGTCAGTGGGGACCAGGTCAGTGGAAAATTGGTCAGTGGGGTCTGGTCCATGAGGCCTATTAAGTGTGGGCCTGGTTAGGAAGACATGGTCAGCGGGGACTTGATCAGTGGGACCTGGTCAATGGAGGAGTGGTCATTAGGGGCCTCATCACTCATCACTGGGAACCTGGTCAGGGATGATTGGTGAGTACGTGGCCTGCTGGCCACTATGTGACCTTAGGCAGGGGGCTTTTCTCTGTCACCTCCTTGCCTCCATCTGCAGGGAAGGTGAGTCTGGGCACCCTAGAGGGTGGCTGGAAAGAGAAGGTGAGAAGATGTGTTGAATCCAATACTGCTTGACAAACCTACAACTTTACAAATGACCTGTGTTCCACCTAGAGAGGGTGCCAGCCCTCTCAGCAGTATGCAGTGCCTCTCCTCTGTCTGCATCCCCAGGACCACCATGGGTGGGGAGGGCAGAGATTGGGGAGCACCTATAGAGGCTCTAATGCTCTAAGGTGACAGTGATGAGGACCTGGGTGCACCCATGAGTGGAGAAGCTAGGCCTGTCCAGAGAAGCAAGACTAACACACACATACGCACACACACACACACACACAGGCACACATGCATATACAAACACATTGTATACACACATGTCAGTTCAGGGGATAAAGGACACTGACTCTGAGCCCTGTTGACCCAAGCAGGCTCCCGTTGTGGTGGGTTGTCAACCCACAATATCACTCTTCCTGAGTCCCCATCGCCTCTGTGTTGTGGAGAAGTTAGAGACACACAGCAGTGTCTGTGAGTAGCTCTGCATGAAGGACCATTTTCTAGATGACAGACACATCTCAACACAGCTCACTGATCAGACTCAGGTGAGTGGGACCTGCTCTCCTCTCTTCCTCCTGGCTTGGGGACAGTCACTATCAGGTGGGTGGTTTTGGCCTCTGGGCAGCTACTGAGGGTAATCCCTGAACACTCACCGGGTGCCTGTTTTGTGCTGACAGTCGTCTCATTCATCCTCACAGCAATTCCATTCTGCATTTTTCTCATCACCCCCCTGACCACCCAGGACAACCCCATCAGGGCCCTGTCACCTGGCCCAGTCCAGCTCCATGATAACCAAGACACAGGTCCAGAGTCAACCGTCCTGCATCGTGCCTGCATCTGATCCCCCTTGGTGGGTAGTGACCAGCACAACATGGAAGAAGCCAGGGCAGCATGCAGCTCTGCAGCCCCAGATGGCTCCTGGGCCTTGGGAAGTCATTCTTAAAAGGGAAGCTGGTCACTTTGAGGTCCCTGAAAGGAAGGGTGAACGTGCATCCCAAAAGCCCTGGCAGCCGGCAGCCAGCAGCCAGCAGCATGGCATACATCTTCTCACCCAACCTGTGTGACAGAGGCCCCCTCCTGGGGCACAAGCCCCATACCTAAAGCATCCTGTCCCAGTCGGACCTCATCCTGAGCCCTGGGAGGGGAGGGGCACCATGGGTTCCCTGCAGCAGCCAGGATTACCACCCAGGGGACTCGGCCTTCTGTGGCCCTGGCCAGACTTAGAATTTGGCCCAAGACAAGCTTACTCGGAGCAACTTCTCAGTACCTGGGGCCTGTGCATGCCAGGCAAGAACAAGCTGGCTCAAAGAGCAACCAGCTACCTCTGCAAGGGTGTGCCAGGAGCAGGTGGAGCTGTCACCAACCTCACCCACTCAAGGAAACAGGGATGGCCAGGTTCCCACAGTCTGAATGACCACCACCTGACAGCTGATGGAGTGGAGGCCTGAGGAAAAGCAGATGGCACTGGGGCTCCACCTCCAGGGCAGAGTAACTGATTTACCCTGGCTGGCAGGGAGTGACGTTGGTGGCTGGTCTATCGGCTCCTGGCACACCCTTGCAGAGGTGGCTGGTTGCTCTTTGAGCCAGCTTGGCTTTGCCTGGGATGCATAGGACTCAGTGCAACAAATGTGCTGCAAATGGAGCCACATAGAGGAAAGGAGCAGCAGGCTCAGGAGCGGGGTGTGTGCCACCTTTGGGGCTCCAGTCCATGCATAGGGGCTTCTACAGCACTGTGGGCTTCTCAGGTGCCAAGAGGCAGACCACAGGCCATCTGGAGGATGACTCTGGTAAGAGCTTCCTTGGGTATGTGGATGATGTCCAGAATGTTGGCCTGGTGTCCCTGAGACAGCACTAACAGGTCCATGACTGGGTCCAGGTCCTGCCTGGGCTGATTGGCAAAGAGCTCACTGACAGTGTGGAATGCATCTATGGTGAAGTGGATCTATGTTCAAGTGCAGAAAGGGCCCAATCTGGTAGATGAACCACACAACCAGCATCTGGGTGCAGGCACAGTGCCACATTTTTTGTCACTTCCTGATGTACCCCCCCAGCACTGAAGAGACAGCCTGGAGACAGGACAAGAGGAAGGCTGAGAAGGATGAGATGGTGAGTGCCAGATTCTTCCTGGCCCTGAGCCCTCCCTCAGAGTGACACTCAACCTTTAGGAGTGGGAGAGCAAGATTGACGGCTTCAAGTGCTTCACCAAGAAGATGGACAACAGGGCTCTCAGGTCAACTTCACAGCCAATGAGTGGTGACAGGCTTTAAGAAAGAGCATCTTCCACATTGTCAGTGAGCTCTTTGCCAATCAGTCCAGGCAGGACCCCGACCCAGCCATGGGCCTGTTAGTGCTGTCTCAGGTACACAAGACCAACATCTTGGACATCATCCAGATACACAAGGAAGCTCTTACCAAAGTCACGGAGAGCAGGCAACATGTGGCAGAAGGGAATACAGAGGTGCAGAGGCTGATGATGTCAGAATCACAGGAACAGGATTTCTTTGGCTACTTTGGCTGAAATTCACCACTTCCATCCAATTCCAGTGAGAGACATGGACTCACAGGTGCAGCATTTCTTGCAACAAGAGATACTACTTTTTCAAAAAGTCACTGAGGAATTGATAGTGTTGAATGACTCAATACTCAATCGTGGACTGTTTCCAGTTCAAGGATACTTTCTACAGCAGAATAATAACACTAGCAAAGAGCTAGTACAAGGATGGTTTTGTGCTCAACTGAAATCCAGCTGAATAGAGAATTGTATAGGAAACAGTTAATATGGTGATAGAATAGAAACAGTAGCAAATGTGAACTAAATCATGCTATGAATGCCTAAACTACTGCTGTAACTTTTGGAAAAATGATAATACCACTTTATTGCTTTTTGAAGAATGAATATTTTAGTGTATATGATCTAGACCTCAAACCCTATAAAGATTCTCAAAGAAGTTGGCTGGATAAAGCCTACTGTGGATGTCTTTATATTCAAAGATTGATGATGCAATTTGAATATGTGTCTCCTCCGAATCTCATGTTGAATTATATTTCCTAATGTGGAAGGTGGATCCTGGCATAAGGTAATTGAATTATGAAGGCAAATTTCTCATGAATGGTTCAGCACCATCCCCTTGTACCGTCCTCACAATAATGAGTGACTTCTCATGAGGTCTGGTCACTGAAAACTCTATGTCACCTCCCTACTCTCCGTGTTTTCCCCTTGCCATGTGAGACAACTAATTCTTTCTTTGCCTTCCATGATTATTGAAAGATTTCTGAGGCCTCCTAGAAGCAGAAGCACTGTGCTTAGAACCATGAGACAATTAAACCTATTTTTCAAAATAAATCATACAGAAAATGGCAAATGAGGACTGGAGCACTGCTATAAAGATACCTGGAAATGTGGAAGCAGCTTTGGAACCCGGTAATGGATGGAGGTTGGAAGAGTTTGGAAGGCTCAAAAGAAGACAGATAGATGAGAAAACTTTTGGACCATCTTAGAGTCTGGCTCAATTGTTGTGACAAAAATCCTGACAGAAACATGGACAATGAAGACCAGACTGAGGAGGTCTCAGAGAGAAATAAGCTTTCTGGAAAATGTCTTTATTTTGGATATGGAAAGCTTACACAATGCCTGTACCATCATTGTACCTTAGAAGCAGTGAACTTGCTTTTTTCAGAGACTCATAGGCAAAAGAGACTGCAGCCTTGACCCAGATGAGATTTGGATTTTGTAACTTTGAGTTAATCCTGAAATGAGTTAAGACTTTGGGAGACTGCTGGCAAGGCATGATTGTATTTTGCAATGTGAGAAGGACATGAGATTCATGGGGTCAGGGACAGAATAATACGGTTTTTCTCTATGTCCCTACCAAAACTCTTATGGAATTATATTTTGTAATGTTAGAGGCGGGGCCTAGGTGGAAAAAGATTTAGTCATAAAATGGTGCAGGTAGATACTTCACGAATGATAAAGGACCATCACCTTGATGCTATCCTCCTGATAGTGAGTGACTTCTCATGAGATCTGGTTGTTTAACAGGCTGTGGAACCTCTTTCCTCACTCTGTCTTCCTCCTACTCCTGCTTTAGGAGACATCTCATTGTCCCTTGGCTTTCTGATATAACGAGGAGTCTTCCTGATTCCTCCCAGAAACAGAAGACACAATGATTCCTTCACAGCTTGCAGAAACATGAGTCAATTACACGTCTTTTATTTACAATAATACAGAAAATTAGAACTGCAGAGAGGAGCTGTGAAATGTCTTCAAGGCCTTTTTCCCTTTGTCTTGGCTATTAGCACAGGGCTTCTTTATATGCAAATTTCTGAAATCTTCTTGAATGTTTCCCCTTAAATGGGATTTTTGTTATTGCTACCTAGCCAACCTGCTATACAGATAGCTAAAAAAGTAGAAGCAGGCTCAATAGTGGGTAGCAAACAAAGATTGGAAGGGCTTGGAGGGATTAGAGTACTAGAG
The DNA here is from genome assembly GCF_000001405.40 of Homo sapiens. NCBI lineage: Eukaryota > Metazoa > Chordata > Mammalia > Primates > Hominidae > Homo > Homo sapiens. The sequence continues at coordinate 49,564,003 of NC_000004.12, forward strand.
GGAGTGGGAGGGAGTGATTTAATCATGGATGGGTGGGGGTGGATGTGGAAGGGAAAAAGGGGTGGGTAGGGTGGGAGGGAGTAGACTGGCTGTATGGTGGTGGGAAGGTGGTGGGTAGTAGGAAGGGGGAGTAGCCTGCTGCAGAGGCAGAGCCTCATGGAAAATCCCTACTGGGGAATTGCACCTGTGGCTTTGCAGGTCTGAGCCCCCATGGCTGCTCTCATAGACTGGACTAGTGTTGAGTGCCTGTAGCTTTTCCACACGGAGGGTGCAAGCTGTTGGTGGGTCTATGTATCTGGGGTCTGGAGGGTGGTAGCATGGGGGCTCCAAGTCCATATTTTCCTTCTGCACTGCCCTAGTAGAGGTTTCCCAATAACTCTTCGTCTGCAGGAGGCTACTGCGTGGAAACAGTAGGAGGTGGGTGTGGGAGGCAGATCCTTCACCAATGGTTAGGCAACGTCTTCTTGATGCTGTCCTCATGATAGTGTGTTCTCATGAGATCTGGTTATATAACAGGGGGTGGTAACTCTTTCCTCTCGCAGTCTTGCTTCTACTCCTGCCATTTGAAATATCTCATTGCCCCTTGGCCTTCTGGTATGATTGGGAGGCTTCCTGATCTGATCCTCCCAGAAGCAGAAGCCACTATGCTTCCTTTACAGCCTGCTGTATAGTGAGCCAATTAAACCTCTTTTCTTTATGATCATACAGAAAATCAGTGCTATGAAGTGGAGCCATGAAATGCCTTCAAGGCCCTTTCCCCTTTGTCTTGGCAACCAGCACTCAGCTTCTTTTCATGCAAATATCTGAAGCCTTCGTGAATTTTCCCCCGAAAATGGACTTTTCTGTTTTACCACATTGCCAGGCTCTGATAAAGATAGCTGACAATGTAGAACCAGGTTCAGAGTGAGTAAAAAACAGAGGTCAGAAGAATTGGGAAAGCTTAGAAGACAGCAAGATGAGGAAAATATTGGACCACTATAGAGAATTGTTAAATACTTGTGATCAGAAGGCTGACAAAAGTTTAAACACTGAAGTCCAGACTTAAAAGGTCTCAGATGAAAATGAGGAATTTCCTATTAATAGAAGCCAAGATTACATTTGATTGGCCTTAGCAAAGAAGCTGGCTGCACGGGGACCCTGCCCTGGAGATCTGTGAAACTAGGAACTTGGGGGTGATGATTTAGGATGTATTTGGTGAAATGAACATCTAGGCAGCATAACACAAGAGGTGACCTGTCCGCATTGAACAGCCTGTGTTCTTAAGGGTGACCTAAGAAATGACTTCAAGTTGGAACTTCAAGTGGAGATCTAAAGTTTGGAAAATTTGGAGCCTGGCCAAGTGGTCAAAAAGAAAAGCCGATTTTGAGGGGGAAAATTCAAGAAGGCTTAGGGTATTTGCATAAAAAGGAACCCAGTGCAAATAGCCAAGACAGTTTGAAACCGTCCTTGAAGGTATTTTAGAGAAGTCTGCAGCAGCCCTTGCTGTCACAGGCCCCGGGGCCTAGGAGAGAAGAATGGTTTCCTACTCCAGTCCCATGGCCCTGCTGCTGTGTTCAGCCGCAGGACACTGCTGCCTGCATCTGTGCAGCTCCAGCACCAGCCATGGCTGAAAGACATACAGGTACAGCTCGGGTCATTGCTTCAGAGGTGGCTCAAAGTCTTGAAGGTTTCCATATAGGGTTAAGCCAGTAGGTGCACAGAGAAAGAGACTAGAGGCTTGGGAGCTCCCGTCTAGACTCCAGAAGATGTACAGAAAATCCTGGATGTTCAGGAAGAAGCTTTTCCAAGAGGCAGAGCCTTATGGGGAACCTCTACTAGGGGAGCAAAGAAGGGACATATAAGGTTGAAGCCCCCACACAGGGAGGCATCACTCTCTAAACCCCAGATTCATAGACCCACAAACAGCTTGCACCCCTGGTGTGGAAAAGCTATGGGCACTCAACAACAGCCCTGTCCATGAGAGACAGCCACGGAGGCTGAACGCTGCAAAGCCACAGGGGCAGATCTGCCCAAGGCCTTGGGAGCTCAGCCCTCACAGCCCTGTGCCATGGATATGGGACAAGGATTCAAAAATGATGATTTTGGAGATGTAGCATTGAGTGACTGGCCTGCTGCGTTTTGGACATTTATGTATCCTATGAGTCCCTTCTGTGTTTTGTGCTTCTTTCTAGGAATTATTTTTTTCTGTTGGCTGGGAATGCTTACCCATTGCCTATACAATCCTTGTACCTTGGAAGTAGTAAATTTTCTTTATAATTCAGTGACTCATGGGCAGAAGGGACTGTAAACTTGTCTCAGATAAGACTCTGGGCTTTGGGCCTTTGAGTAAATGCTGGAATGAGTTAAGATTTGAGAGACTCTAGGGAAGGCATCATTGCATTTTGCAATGTGAGAAAGACATGAACTTTGGGGGACCAGGGACAGAATAATATGTTTTGGCTCTCTGTCTCTACCAAAGCTCATGTGGAATATTAATGGGAAATGTTAAAAGTGGGGGCTGGTAGAAGGTGATTTCATCATGGTGAAGAGTGGAGGATGGATGGTTGGGGGGCGGGGAGGGTTGGGGGATTGGGGGGCGAGGAGGGTTGGAGGGGATTGGGGGTTGGGAGGGTTGGAGGGGATTGTGGTGGGGTTGGGGGTGAAAGGCATGGGTGGGGGTGGATCCTTCACAAATGGTTAAACACCATCTCCTTAATGCTGTCCTTCTGATAGTGAGTTCTCTTCATGAGTTTGGAGCTGTGAGATTGAATGAACACTGACCTACTGTATTTTGGATGTCCATTGGGCCTGTGGCCCCATTTGTGTTATTTTTCTTGGAAATTTCTTTCCTTTGGATTGAGAAAGCTTACCCAGTACCTGTACCATCATTGTACCTTGAAAGAAACAAACACCCTTTTAGCTTCAGGGAATCATAGGCAGAAGAAACTGTAGCGTTGTCTCAGATGAGACTTTGAACTTTTTACATTTGAGTTAATGCAGGAAGGAGTTAAGGCTTTTGGAAACTTTTGAAAAGGTATGAATGTATTTTATTCTGTGAGAAGGATATGAGGTTTGGGGGGTCAAGGTCAGCATAGTATGATTTGGCTGTGTGCCCCTGGAAAAACTGATGTGGAATTGTAATGCCAAATGTTGGAGGCAGGACCTGGTGGGAGATTATTTAATCATGGATGGGAGGGGTAGGGGTGGAAAAAAATGGGGTGGGTAGGGTGGGGAAGAGTAGGCTGGCTGTAGGGTGGTGGGAGGGTGGTGGGTAGTAGGAAGGGGGAGTAGACTGCTGCAGAGGCAGAGGCTCATGGAAACCTCTAGCAGGGCAGTGTGCCTGTGGCTTTGCAGGCTTTAGCCCCCATGGCTTCTCTCATGGGCTGGGCTGGTGTTGAGTACCTATCACTTTTCCATACTGAGGGTGTGAACTGTTGGTAGGTCTAGGAATCTGGGGTCTAGAGGATGGTGGCCTCCTGCATAGTCACTCAAAGCCCTTATTTTCCTTCCGCACTGCCATAGTACAGGATTCCCAAGAGCCTCTGCCTCTGCAGCAGACTTCTGTCTGGAACACTAGGAGGTGGAGCTGTGTTGGGGGGCGGATCCTTCACCAATGGTTAAGCACCATCTTCTTGATGCTGACCTAGTGATAGTGAGTCCTCGTGAGATCTGGTTATATAACGGTGTGGCACCTCTTTCCTCTCTCAGCCTTGCTCTTACTCCTGCCGTATGAAACATTTCATTGCTGTTTTCCTACTGGTATGATTGGGAGTCTTCCTGAGTCCTCCCAGAAGCAGAAGCCACTATGCTTTCTTTACAGCCTGCAGAACCATGAGCCAATTAAACCCCTTTTCATTATGATCATACAGAAAATAAAGTACTGTGAAGTGGAGCTATGAAATATCTGCAATGACATTTCCCCCTCGTCTTGGCTATTAGCACTGGACTTCTTTTTAATGCAAATATCTGAAGCCTTTTGAAGTTTCCCCCTGAAAATGGACTTCTTTTTCTTCTACATTGCCAGGCTGCAATAAAGATAGCTGAAAATGTAAAGCAGGTTCAGAAGTGGGTAAAAGCCAGAGGTTGGAGAGTTTGGAGAGCTTGAAAGAAGACAGGAAGATGAAAGAAATTTTGGACCATAGTAGGCACTTGTTGAATAGTTGTGATTAAAAGGCTGGCAGAAGGATGGACAGTGAAGGCCAGGCTTACAAGGTCTCAGATGAAAATGAGGAAATTACTGGGAACAGGAGCCAAGGTTACTTTTGTTTTGCTATAGCAAAGAACATGGCTGCAGGGCGACCTTGCCCTCGAGATCTGTGAAACTTTGAACTTGAGGGTGATGATTTAGTACATATCTGGTGGAATGAACTTCTAGGCAGCATAGCACAAGGGGGATCCTGTCTGCATCAAACAGCCTGTGCTCTTGTGTGACCGAGGTTATGTGTGACCGAGGAAATGACCTCAAGTTGGAACTTACATTTAAAAATGACAAGCAGAGCTCAAAAGTTTGGAACATTTGCAGCCTGGCCAAGTGGTCAAAAAGAAAAGCTGATTTTCGGGGGAAAATTCATGAAGGCTCCAGAAATTTGCAGAAAATGGAGGCCAGTGCTAATAGCCAAGACAATGGGGGAAAAAGCCTTGGAGGCATTTCAGAGATGTTTACAGCAGCATTTACTGTCACAGACCCTGGGGCCTAGGAGAGAATAATGGTTTCCGGGGCCAGCCCCATGGCCCTGCTGCTGTGTGCAGCCTCAGGACACTGCTGCCTGCATCCCAGAAGCCCAGCTCCTGCTCCGACCTTGGCTGAAAGATACACAGCTACAGATTGCATCACTGCTTCAGAGGGTACAAGCTATAAGGCTTCATGGCTTCCACATAGTGTTAAGCCAGCGAGTCCATAGAGCACTAGCCCAGAGGCTTCGGAGCCCTCATATAGATTTTGGAAGATGTACGAAAATGCTTGGGTGTCCAGACAGAAGGCTGCCAAAAAGCAGAGCCTCTTGGGAAACCTCTACTAGGGCAGTGCAGAAGGAAAATATGGGGTTGGAGCCCTCACACCGGAGGCCACCATCATGCAGACCCCAGACTCATAGACCCACCAAGAGCTTTGTACCCTCTGTGGGTGAAAACTACAGGCACTCAACACCAGCACAGCCCATGAGGGCAGCTGTGGGGACTGAAAACTGCAAAGCCACAGGTGCAGACCTGCCCAAGGCCTTGGGAGCCCAGCCCTCATGCCCTTGTGCCCTGGATGTGGGGCAAGGATTAAAAAAGGATGACTTTGGAGCTGTAGGTTTTAATAACTGGCCTGCTGGGTTTTGGATTTTCATGGGACCTGTAAGTCCCATTTGTGTTTCATTGCTTCTCTGGCAAAAATCTTCCTTTAGGGTGGGAATTCTTACTCAATGCCTGGACAATCATACCTTGGAAGTAGTTAACTTGCTTTGTATTTCAGAGGCTCAGGAGCAGAAGGGACAGCATCTTTGTCTCAGATGACACTTTGGGCTTCAGACATTTAAGTAAATGCTGGAATGAGTTAAGACGTTGGGGGTTTTAGCCAAGACGATGGGGAAAAGTCATTAAAGGCGTTTCATAGCTTCACTTCACAGTACTAATTTTCTGTATGATCATAACAAAAAGGGGTTTAATTGGCTCATCGTTCTACAGGCTATAAAAAAAAGCATAGTGGCTTGGGGAATGGTAAGTAAGGCATCACTGTATTTTGCAAAGTGAGAAGGACATGAGATTTGGGGAGGCAGGGACAGAAGAATAAGATTCGGCTGTGTGTCCCTATGGAAACTCATGTGGAATTGTAATCAGAAATGTTAAAATTGGGGCCACGTGGAAGGTGATTTAATCATGGAGGGCACTGGGTGTTGGAAGGTGGAGATTGAGGATGATGGGTGGATTATGCTGGGGGTGAGGGGTGAAAAGTGGGGGTGGGGGGATGATCCCTCACAAGTAGTTAAACACCATCTCCTTAATCCTTTCCTCATGATGGTGAGTTCTCGTGACGGTTTTGGAGCTGTGAGATTGAATGGATACTGGCCTCCTGGGTTTTGGACTTGCGTTGGCCCTGTGATCACATTTGTGTTATTTTCCTGGCAAACTTCTACCCTTTGGATTGAGAAAACTTACCCAATGCCTGTACCATCATTGTACCTTGAAAGAAAAGAACTCACTTTTAAATTCAGGGACTTATAGGCAAAAGGGACTGTAGCCTTTTCTCAGGTGAGACGTGGAACTTTTTACATTCGAGTTAATGCTGAAATGACTTAAGACTTTTGGCAACTTTTGAAAAGGCATGATTGTATTTTACTCTGTGAGAAGGATATGATATTTGGGGGATCAGGGTCAGAATAGTGTGATTTAGCTGCGTGTCCCTACCTAAACTCACATGTAATTGTAATCCTGAATGTTGCAGGTGGGGCCTGGTGGGAAGTGACTTATTCATGGATGGGAGAGGGGTGGGGTTGGAAGTAAAAACAGGTGGGTAAGGTGGGGAGGCGTAGGCTGGCTGTAGGGTGGTGTGTAGCAGGAGGGGAGTAGCCTGCCACAGAGGCAGAGGCTCATGGAAAACCTCTACTAAGGCAGTGCACCTGTGGCTTTGCAGGGTTTAGCACCTGCAGCTGCTCTCATGGGCTGGGCTGCTGTTGAGTGCCTGAAGCTTTTCCATACTGGGGGTGTGAGCTGTTGGTAGGTCCATGACTCTTGGGCTGGAGGATGGTGGCGTGGGGGCTCCAAGCCCATATTTTCCTTTTGCACTGCCCTAGTAGAGGTTTTCCAGGCGGATCTGTCTCTGCCTCAGGCTTTTGCTTGGAAACAGTGGGTAGTGGATATGGGGTGGTGGGCGGATCCTTCACCAACAGTTAAGCACCATCTTGATGCTGATCTTCTGATAGTGAGCTCTCATGAGATCTAGTGGTATAACTGGATATTGCACTTCTTTCCTCTCTCTGTCTTGCTTCTACTCCTGCCATATGAAACATTTCATTGCTGCTTGGCCTTCTGGTATAATTGGGAGGCTTCCTGAGTCCCCCTACAAGCAGAAACCACTATGCTTTCTTTACAGCCCGAAGAACTGTGAGTCAATTAGACCTCTTTTCTTTATGTAGATACAGAAAATTAATGCTGTGAAGTGAAGTTATGAAATGACTTCGAGGAATTTCCCCCATTCTCTTGGCTATTAGCACTGAGCTTTTTTCAGTGCAAATATTGGAGGCCATCTTGATGTTTCCGCCTGATAATGGACTTTTCTTCTTTTACCACATTGCCAGGCTGCAGCAAAGATAGCTGACAGTGTAGACGCAGGTTCCAAATTGGGTAGTGGCCAGAGGTTAGAGAGTTTGGAGAACTTGGAAGAAGACAGGAAGATGAGGGAAAGTTTGGACCATTGCAGAGACTTATTAAATAGTTGTGAGTAAAAAGCTGACAGAAGGATGGACAGTGAAGACCAGCCTTGTAAGGTCTCAGATGAAAATGAGGAACTTACTGGGAAAAGGAGCCAAGGTTTTTTTGTTTTGACTTAGCAAAGTAATTGGCTACACAGTGACCCTTCCCGGGAGATCTGTGAAACTGAACTCGAGGGTGATAATTTAGGGTGTATTTGGTGGAATGAACTTCTAAGCAGCAAAGTTCAAGAGTTGTACTGCCTACATCGAACAGCCTGTGCTCCTATGTGTGGTGAAAGAAATGACCATAAGTTGGAACTTATATTTAAATGAGAAACAGAGCTTCAACATTTGGAAAATTTGTAATCTGGACAAGTGGTAAAAAAGAAAAGCTGATTTTCAGGGGGAAAATCAAGAAGGCTTAGGATATTTGCATAAAAAGGAGCCCAATGCTAATAATTCAAGACAATGGGAAAAAGGCCTTGAAGGCATTTCAGAGACCTTTGTAGCAGTCCTTGCTGTCACTGGCCCTGGGGTTTAGGAGAAAAGAATAGTTTCCTGGCTCAGCCCCATGGCTCCACTGCTGTGTGCAGCCTCAGGACACTACTGCCTGCATCCCTGCAGCTCCTTTTCCAGCTTCAGCCATGGATGAAAGATGTACAGGTACAGCTTGCATCACTGCTTCAGAGGATGCAAGCTCCAAGCCTTGGTGGCTTCTACATAGTGTTAAGCCAGCAGGTGCATAAAGCACAGGACTAGAAGCTTCAGAGCCTTCGTCTGGACTCCAAAGAATATATCAGAAAGCCTGAGTGTCTAGCCAGAAGCTTTTCCAAGAGGCAGAGCCTCATGGTAAATCTCTACTCAGGTAGTACACAAGGAAAGTATAGGGTTGGAGTCCCCATAGAGGGAGGCACCATTTTCCAGACCTCAGTTTCATAGACCCACCAGCTGCTTGCACCCTTAGTGTTGAAAAGCTACAGGTACTCAACGCCAGCCTAGCCAATGAAGTCAGCTGTAGGGGGAAGATTCTGCAATGCCACATGTGCAGAGCTGCCCAAGGCCTTGGGATCCCAGCCATCACAAAACGCTGTGCTCTGGATGTGGACATAGATTCCAAAAAGATGATTTGGAGCTGTATGATGGAATGCCTGGCCTGCTGGGTTTTTGACTTGCAGGGGGTTTGTAAGTCCCATCTGTGTTTTGTGCTTCTTTCTGGGAAATTTCTTCTTTTTGGCTTGGAATGCTTACCCAATGCCTGTACAATCATTGTAACTTGGAAGTGGCTAACTTGCTTTGTATTTCAGAGGCTCAGGGCAGAAGATATGGCAGCCTTGTCTCAGAGGAGACTTTGGCCTTTGGACATTTGAGTAAATACTGGGATGAGTTAAGATTTGGGGGACTCTAGGGAAGGCCTCATTGCATTTTGCAATGTGAGAAAGACATGAACTTTGGGGGACCAGGGACAGAATAATATGTTTTGGCTCTGTGTCTCTACCAAAACTCATGTAGAATTTTAATGGGAAATGCTAAAGGTGGGGGCTGGTGGAAGGTGAGTCAATCATGGTGAAGAGTAGAGGTTAGATGGTTGGGGGGTGGGGAGGGTTGGGGGGATTAAGGGGTGGGGAGGGTTGGGGGCGATTGTGGTGGGGTTGGGGGTGAAAGGCAGGGGTAGGGGGTAGGTCCTTCACAAATGGACATTTGAGTAAATGCTGGAATGAGTTCAGACACTGGGGGACTGTAGAGAATGCATCATTGTATTTTGAAGTATGAGAAGGATGTGAGATTGGGGGGCCAAAGGGAGAATAATACGATTTGGCTCTGTGTCCCTACCAAAACTCATGTGGAATTATAATAGGGAATGTTAAGTGTGGGGCTTGGTAGAAGGTGATTTAATCATGGTAGAGAATGGGGGTTGGAAGGGGGATGTGGGAGAATGGAGGTTCATGGTGTGGGTGAGGGTGAAACATGGGGATAGGTGGCAGATCCTTCACAAATGGTTAAATACTATCTCCTTAATGCAGTCTGTGTGATAGTGAGTTCTCGTGATAAATGAATGCTGTCCTGCTGGGTTTTGGAGTCAGATTGGGCCTGTGTCCCATTTGTGTTATTTTTCTGGGAAAACCTTCCCTTTGGTTTAAGAAAGCCTACCCAGTGCCTGTGCCATCATTGTAACTTGAAAGAAAAGAATTGTCTTTTACATTCAGGGACTCATAGGCAGAAGGGATTGCAGCCTTGTCTTGGATGAGACTTGAACTTACTACATTTGAGTTACTGCTGGAATGAGTTAAGACTTTTTGAAACTTTTGAAAAGGCATGTTTGTATTTTTCTGTGTGAGAAGGACATGAGATGTGGGGGTGTCAGGGTCAGGATAGTATGGTTTGGCTGTGTTTCCCTACAAAAACTCATGGGGAATTGTATTCCTGACAGTTGTAGGTTGGGCCTGGTGGGAGGTGATTTAATCACAAACGGGAGGTTGGTAGGGGTGGAAGGGAAAACAAATGGGTAGGATGAGGAGGAGTAGGCTGGCAGTAGGGTAGTGAGAGGTTCGTGGGCAGTAGTAAGGGGGAGTAGCCTGCTGCAGAGGCAAAGCCTCAAGAAAAACCTCCACCAGGGCAGTGCACCTATGGCTTTGCAGGGTGTAGCCCCCATGGCTGCCCTCATAGGCTGGGCTGTTGTTGAGTGCCTGTAGCTTTTCCATACTGAGAGTGCAAGCTGTTGGTGAGTCTATGAATCTGGGGTCTGAGGATGGTAACCTCCTGTGTGGGGCCTCCAAGCCCATATACTTTTTCTGCTCTGCCCTATTAGAGGTTTTCCTAGTGGCTCTGCCTCTTCCTCAGGCTTCTGCCTGGAAACAGTGAGGGGTGTGGGTGGTAGGAGGCAGAACTTTCACCAATGGTTAAGAAACATCTTCTTGATACTCACCTTGTGATAGTGAGTTCTCAGGAAATCTGGTTGTATAACAGGGTTATACAACGTGCGGCACCTTTTTCCTCTCTCTGTTTTGTTTCTACTTCTGCCATATAAAACATCCCATTGCTGCTTGGTCTTCTGGTATGATTGGGATGCTTCCTGAGTCCTTCCAGAAGCAGAAGCCTCTATGATTTATTTAAAGCTTGCAGAACCATGAGCCAGTTCAACCTCTTTTCTTTCTGATTATACAGAAAAATAATGCTATAAAGTGGAACTATGAAATGCCTTCAAGGACTTTTTCCTATTCTCTTGGCAATCAGCACTCAGCTTCTTTTCAGGCAAATGTCTGAAGCCTGCATTAATTTTTCTCCTGAAATGGACTTTTCTTCTTTTACCACATTGCCAGGCTGTGACAAACGTAGCTGAAAATGTAGAAGCAGGTTGAGAAGTGTGTAATGGCAAGAGGTTGGAGAGTTTGGAGGTCTTGGAAGAAGACAAGAAGATGAGGAAAAGTTTGGATCAGTGTAGAGACTTGTTAAATAGTTATAATTAAAAAGGTGACAGAAGGATGGACAGTGATCACCAGGCTTAGAAGGTCTCACATGAAAATGAGGAGCTTGCTGGGAACAGGAGTCAAGGTCACTTTTGTTTTTTCCTTAGCAAAGGATGTTGCTGCACAATGCCCCTAACCTGGAGACCTGTGAAATTTTGAACATCAGGGTGATAATTTAGAGTGTACTTGGTGGAATGAAATTTTAGGCAGCAAAGCTTAAGAGGTTTCCTGTCTGTGTCGAACAGCCTGTGGTCCTATATGTGACCAAAGAAATGACCTCAAGGTGAAACTTGTATTTAAATGAGAAGGAGAGCTTAAAAGTTTGGATAATTTGAAGCCTGGCCAAGTGGCCAAAAAGAAAAGCTGATTATCAGTGGGAAAGTTCAAAAAGTCTTCAGAAATGTGCATAAAAAGGAGTTCAGTGCTAATAGCCAATACAATATTAAAAAGGTCTTGAAGGCATTTCAGAGACTTTTGCAGCAGCGCTTGCTATCACAGGCCCTGAGGTCTGGGAGAAAAGAATGGTTTCCTTCTCCAGCCCCATGGCCCCACTGCTATGTCCAACCTCAGGACACTGCTGGCTGCATTCCTGAGGCTCCAGCTCCAGCCTTGGCTGAAAGATGCACAGGTACAGCTTGGGTCACTGCTTCAGAGGGTGCAAGCTTCAAGGCTTGGTGGCTTCCACATTGTGTTAAGCCAGCAGCTGCACACAGCACAAAACTAGACGCTTGCAAGCCTTTGTCTAGACTCCAGAGTATGTACGGAAAAACCTGGGTGTTCACACAGAATCTTTTCCAAGAGGCAGAGCCTCGTGGGAAACTTTTACTAGGGCAGTACAGAAGGAGAATTTAGGGCTGGAGTCCCTAAATATGGAGGCACCATTCTCCAGACTCCAGATTCATAGACTCACCAACAGCTGGCACCCTTAGTATGGAAATGCTACAGGCACTCAACATCAGCCCAGCCCATGAGGGCAGCTGTGGGGTATAGACCCTGCACAGCCACAGGTGCAGAGCTGCCCAAGGCCTTGGAAGCCCAGGCATCACACACCTGTGCTCTAGATGTGAGATGTAGATTCAGAAAAGATGATTTGGAGCTGTAGGATTCAATGACTGGCCTGCTGGGTTTTTGACTTGCATGGGGTCTGTAAGTCCTTGTACATTTCAGTAAATGCTGGAATGAGTTAAGTCATTGGGGGACAGTAGAGAAGTCATCAGAGTATTTTGCAGTGTAACAAGGATACAAGATTTGGGGAGCAAGAGCCAGAATAATATGATTTGGTTCTGTGTCCCTACCAATGCTCATGTGGAATTGTAGTGGGGAATGTTAAAGGTGGGACCTGGTGGGAGGTGATTTAATCATGGAGAAGAGTGGGTGTTGGAGGTAGGGGTATGGGGAGAATGGGAGAGATTATTTTGTGGGTGGGAGTGAAAGGTGAGGGTGGGGGGCAGATTCTTCACAAATGAGTAAATACTATCTCCTTAATGCTGTCCGCACTACAGTGAGTTCTCTTGATGATTTTGGAGCTGTGAGATTGAGTGAATACTGTCCTGCTGGGTTTTGGACTTGCATTTGTGTTATTTTTCTGGGCAACTTCTTCCCTTTGGATTGAGAAACCTTACCCAATGCCTGTCCTACCTTGAAGGAAAAGAAATCCCTTTTAAATTCAGGGACTCATTGGCAGAAGGGACTGTAACCTTGTCTCAGATGAGATTTTGAAATTTTTACATTCGGAATGAGTTAAGACTTTTGGAAACTTTTGAAAAGGCATGATTGTGTTTTGCTCTGTGAGAAGGACATGAGGTTCTGGGGAATCAGGGTCAGAATAATATGGGTTGGCTGTGTGTCCCTATAAAACTCACGTGTCATCCTTAATGTTGGAGGTGGGCCATGTGAGAGGTGACTTAATCTTGGATGGGAGGGAGTTGGGGTAGAAGGAAAAGGAGGGATAGTGTGGGGAGGAGTAGGTTGTCAGTAGGGTGGTGGGAGGGTGGGAGTAACCTGCTGCAGAGGCAGAGGCTCATGGGAAACCTCTACTAGGAGAGTGCACCTGTGGCTTTGCAGGGTGTAGCCCCCATGGCTGCTCTCATGGGCTGGGTTGGTGTTGAGTGCCTGTAGCTTTTCCATACTGAGAGTGTGAGCTGTTGGTGGGCTTATTAATCTGGAGTCTGGAGGATCGTGGCCTCTTGTGTGGGGGCTCAAAGCCTATATTTTCCTTCTGCACTGCCATAGTGGAAGTTTCATAAGAGGTTCTGCCTCTGCAGGAGGCTTCTGCCTGGAAGCATTGGGCAGTGGTGTGGTTGGAGAATCCTTCACCATTGGTTAGTCTTCTTGATGCTGATCTCCTGATAGTGAGTTCTCATGTGATCTGGTTGTCTAACAGGATGTCACACCTCTTTCCCCTCTCTGTCTTGCTCCTACTCCTGCCATATGAAACATCTCATTGCCTCTTGGTCTTCTGATATGGTTAGGAGGGGCCTGATCAGTGTGGGCCTGCTCAGTGGACCTAGTCAGTTGGGACTTGTCAGTGAGGCCTATTTAGTGGGGGGTGGTCAGCAGGGGTCTGCTTAGAGTGGGTCTCATTAGAGGGATCTAGTAGTGCATGTCTTGGTGAGTGGGTTGATAGTGGTAGACAAATGTTTGGTGTCTGGTCAGTGCCAACCTGGGCTGTGGGACTTGGTCAGTGGAGACCTTGGGACCTAGTCAGCAGAGACGCTTGTCAGTGGGGCCCTGGTCAGGGCAGGCTGGTCCGTGGAACTTAATCAGTGGGGGCCTGGTCAGAGAGGACTTGATCATTGGTGGCTTTTGTAGCACTGGTCTATGGGGTGACCTGGTCAGCAGGGATCTGAGCAGTGTGTGCCTGTTCAGTGGGGTGTAGTCATTAGGGTCCCAGTCAGGGGCATCTTGTCACCTCAGTCCTGGTTAGCAGGGGCCTGGTCACTGGCTGCCTGTTCCCTGCAGGCCTGGTCAGTGGGGCTTCGTCTGTGGGACCAGACAATGGAGTCATGATAGGTGGAACCTGATCAGTGAGGCCTTGTCAGTAAGGACCTCGTCAGTGAGGCCTTGCCAGTGAGGCCTTGTCAGTAAGGTCCTCGTCAGTGGAGTCCTGGTCATTGTGGGCCTGGCAGCGGGAATCTAGTTAGTGAGGCCTGGTGATGGGGCTCTAATCAGTGAGGGTGTGGTCAGGGAGGAAGTGATATGCTGGATCTGGTCACCAGGGACCTGGTCAATGGGGGCTGCTGAGTACTGCTGGGAGATGTCAGGAGAAATGCATGTTATCAAGGAGCCTGTGGACAGCTGGGGTGGCCCAGTGGTGTTCAATGGCCCAGTCAAAAGTGGACAAAGCAGGTGTTTGGATGGACCTGGGAGATCTTGCTCAGAGATTCTGACAGGACAAAGGTAAAGGAAGGGCCAGAGTGGTTGGAGAGATAGTCACAGTCTATGGTCTGCACAGGATGGAGGAGGCCAGGGAACAGGCAGGGTGGGCAGCTTGGTTTCAGTGAGAGGCAGGTGCATGCTGGGAGGTCAGACCCTATGAGGGTTGTGGGGGCGTCAGGTGGTGTGGGCTCCAGGTGCACCCTCAGCGCACTGGGCAGGTCTTGGCCCAGGCTCCTTGGACTTTGGCCGGGTGATGTGGTCACTTGCTGGGAGACTGTTGTCAGGTGCTGGCCACCCACCCTGGGTAGCACTGTCCCATCTCAGGACTGGACTTCCTCAGATACTGTAGAGGGCACAGCCTCCAGCCCAGGAGGGGCAGCCCCTTGGTGCAGCCTGAGCTCCCCATGGGCCTGGAGCATCCCCTGCCAGCCCTGCACTCCCTCTTCTCCCAGGTCCCGCTTTTCCAGGGTCAGCCAGTGGGGAGGCCCCGTCCTCACTTCCCTATGTGTCTCCTGGGCTGAAACTTGCAGTGCACTGGGACAGGGATGAGGCTTCTCTAAGGCCCATTTAGGGAGAGGACTGGCTCCCAGCCTGGCACAGGTCCTCAGCTCTGCCTTGGTTGCCTTAGAATGTGATGTATCAGTCAGTGCCCTGAAGGTAAAAGTAGGAGACTGTCCCTGCTGTTGGGAGGCTGGTCTAGGGATGGAGGACTTCACAGGTCCTCCAAGTCTGTCAGGCCTGGGCATCACTGTCCTGTTTTAGGACTCAGAAAGTCCAGTTCTGGGATGGGACGGTGCTGCCCAGGGAGGGTGGCCAGGGTCTGACAGCAGTCCCCCAGGGAGTGACCATATCACCCAGCCGGGGTCCAGGGAGCCTGGCCTGAAACCTGCCCTGTGCACTGAGGGTGCACCTGGAGCCCACTCCACCTGATGCCTCCACAGCCCTCACAGGTCCTGACCTCCCAGCATGCACCTGCCTCTCCCTGAATTCCAGCTGTCCACCCTGCCTGTTCCCTCACTTCCTCCATCCTGTCCAGCAGGATGGGATGGGCATGGGGACAGCCTGTGTGCACATTTCATGGCAAGCAGGAGTGACACACCATCCCTGGGAGGCGCCTTGGTTCCTCCAAAACCCGGCCCCAGAACTCTGTCCTTGGGGTGGTTTTACCAAACCCCAAACCCAGAACTGTGGTTGTGGCTCAGGGGTCAGCACCCGCTAGTTCTACAATGTCGCCAAGGACTTTGATTGTACAATGTTCTTCTTTTCAATAGTCTTTCCAAATATTGTGAGATGCATTGTTTCAGGAAGCCCCTTGCCCTCCTAAAAGCCACCCTACTTCTCTCTAAGGAGAATGGCGCAGTCCTCTCCCGAGTTCACACATGGTAGGCGATAGCATTGCTTTTGTGTAAATTATGTAATGCAAAATTTTTTAAATCTTTGCCTTAATACTTTTAAATTTTGTTTTATTTTGAATGACTAGCCTTCATGGCCCCACTTTTTTGTACCCCAACTTGGAATGTATGAAGGGTTTTGGTCTCCCTGAGAGTGGCTCGAGGCAGCCAGGGCTTACCTGTACTCTGACTTGAGAAAAGTTGGATAAAAATGTTCACCTTAAAGAAAATTGAATGACGAAGCATTAACAAAAACAGTATTTCAGTACAGTGGACAGCTTAGCATTTTGACAATTGGGAATAAAATGCTCATTTCTGAACTGTACAATGTAAGACACAAAAACAAAACACTGGAAATGGAAATTCAATTATGTCATTATAGACTGGCTACTGCTCTACATGACTGTGACCAAAGTCAGATAGTTGAAAGAGATTTCTTTCCAGAGAACAAGACATGAACAGGTTTATTTACAGAAAACAATGAATTCTCATATATCTAACCTAAAATATAGCAGATTCTTTCCGAAGAAGTCTAATGTAGACAATAAAATTAACAGGCTAAAAATTAAGCTCCATCAAACAAGATGAACTCTGAGAGAATAGATGGGGCAGGCCGCCATCTTTCCTGTTCAGGCAACTTAGTCATTCCAGCCTGAGGGCTTTGGAGAGTATAAACCGACAAGGGGCAGAAGAGATCCCACAGCACAGCATAGCTGCTTTACCAAATCATGGCCAGAATGGTTCTGTAAGCAGGCCCCCGACCCTGTCGCACATCACTGTACAGGACCTCCCAAATGGGGCCTCCAGCTACCGCCACCAGCATTCCTTGGCCAATAGAAATTTGAAGTGTTCACGGGACAGAGCTCCCAGAGAGAGGGGCAGGCCACCACCTTTGCTGTTTGGGTGACTAGCCGTTCTGGTTTGCGGGCTTTGGAAAGCCCAAGGTGACAAGGGGTGGAAGAGGAACCTCAGCTAAGCATGGCCACACTACAAAAACGTGGCCAGACTCTTGTTTAAGTCAGTCCCCGACCACATTTCTAATCAGCAGGTGAAGCCTTTCAACTAGGGTCTCCAGCTGCCTTCACTGCTGTTCTCTGTCCGACAGAGGTTTCAGGCCTCCCTGAGTCAGAGCTCCCAGGGGGAGGACCAGACTGTTGTCTTTGCTGTTGGGGCAACTCAGCCATTTCAGCATTAGGGCTTCAGAGTGTCTGAGGCAACCAGGAGTGGAAGTGAACACCCGGCATAGCACAGCTGCTCTAGAAAAACGTGCCCAGACTTCTTTTTTAAGTCAGTGCCTGTTTTTGTTCTTCCTGACTAGATAAGACTTCTCAACTTGTCTCCAGTCACATCTTATAGGTGTGTTCATACTGGCAACAAGTTCGTACCTCAGTGGCACAGAGCTCCCAGAGGAAGGGGCAGGCTATCATCTTCCCTGGAAAATACAAGGCAAATAGGGACTGGAGGGACCCCCAGCATACCACAGCAGCCTGACAGAAAAGTGGCCGGACAGTCTACTTGATGGACAAGTCCTCCTGGCCTGGGTCTCCAGCCAGTCCACCATTGGAGCTTTCAAGCCAGTAGCAACTCAGCAATTCCCTGGACAGAGCTTCCAGGAGCAAAGGAAATTCCCTCTGCCACTGTCTCTGCAGTGGAACTGCCCTTGCTACCCTCAGAATATCAAGGGAGCAAAGACCCTAAGTGCCATATCGACACCTCCAATAAGCTGCAGTTGACCCAACGAACAAGCCAGTCCATCTCCCACGGGTACCACACACCCCACACTGCTCATCACCAGAGAGGGAACCCTGGCTTGGGCTTACAACACAGACCCTCCATCCTGGGCTGATTACGCTAAGTGATTGCTAACTCACATCTCTCCGGGATGGAGCACCTAGGAGACAAGCAGAGTGGTGGAGCAGCAAGTCAGGTGATGTGGAGCCCAGAGGGCAGGGACAGCTATCTCTCTAGGCTCCACTTGCCCTTGTGAGACACTTTATCCCAGCACTTTAGGAATGCTAAGCTCAGATCAGCCCCATCTCATGTTCAAGATTGCCCAGCAGAGATCAGGTCCCAGAGTTCGCCTCTTAAAAAAGGGGACTTGCTTAAAAAAGAAGACTGGCCATGTTTGTGTAAAGCAGCTATGCTGTGCTGGGGGTTCACTTTTGAGGGAGTTCTCCTCTGAGACCTGATCTCTGCTGGGCAGTCTTGCCCATGAGATGGGGCTGGTCTGATCTCAGCACTCCTTAGTCTGCTTGCCTCTCCCAGGACCCCAGCCTGGCCACACCTGCTTACAGGGCACTCTCGGATGCCCACAGCATAGCTTCCGTGCTAGTGGACCGTAGCTGATCAGTGGAGAGCTGCAGCAAGGTTGCCCCAACAGCCACGCACCAGTCTGCACATTACCTCTCCATACTGCAGCCCTTTATATGGAAACATCCTACATCACTTTGCTGTGTGTGTTTACACATGTGGGTTTTGCTGTACTTGCCCTGAGAGCACACGGGAGTGCAGCACACACACCAACCCACACCAACTGCCATTGAAGACAGAGCCTTGGTGGGCACAGAACCAAGAACCCCACCCCTGCCAGCACCTCACCCTTGAGCTAATGCTGTGCAGAGAAAAAGGGACCTTCTT
This sequence comes from Homo sapiens, assembly GCF_000001405.40. Taxonomy (NCBI): domain Eukaryota; kingdom Metazoa; phylum Chordata; class Mammalia; order Primates; family Hominidae; genus Homo; species Homo sapiens. The sequence continues at coordinate 49,582,243 of NC_000004.12, forward strand.
ATACCCTGAGCGACCACTGTTTGTTTGAGGGGCACAGAGAAGGCACCATGGTCTGCACTGGCCAGCAGCTCACCCTGAACCAACACTACCTCCAGTGCAACACACACACAGCAGGGGAGCCCTGGCCCACACCCCAGCTGTCTTGCCTCCACCACTGGGTGAACGCCCGCAGGGAGGAAGGGAATTTTGCATCCACTCGCATTCCGCCACAGTTGCCACACTTCGGTCCCCTCAGTGCAGTGGACTCCAAATCTCGAGGAGCCAGAGAACAAAGTTGGGGCCTAAGACAAGTTCCCTAGAGTTAAAGCACACAGTCCAGGAATTGGGAGCTGCACATTGGCCTCCCCCAAATCCTCCAAAAACAAAGCCAGTTGGTTGAATCCACCTTATACCACAATGAAACCCTCAAGATCATCAAATACAATAAAACGAAAATACCCTGTCCGAAGGTCAGCAACCTCAAAGATGGAAGGTGGATAAGCCCATAAAGATGAGAAAGAATCTGTGTGAGAACACTGAAAACTCAAAAAGTCAGCATGCCTTCTTTCCTCCAAATGACTGCATCAACTCTCCAGCAAGTGTTCAGAACTGGGCTGAGGCTGAGATGTCTGGAATGATACAAGCAGGGTTCAGGATATGCGTAGGAACAAAGTTCACTGAGTGAAAGAAGTATGTTGTCATGCAATACAAGTGAGCTAAAAATCATTGTAAAACATTGCAGGAGCTAACAGACAAAATAGCAAGTATAAAGAAGGCATAACCGACCTAATAGAGCTGAAAAGCACACTACAAGAATTTTCATAATGGAGTCACATGGTGATTATGTGTGATTGCATTATGAAAATTATTGTAGTGTGTGTGGGCACCCGATATTGCCCTGTAAGCAGGTGTGGCCAGGCTGGGGTCCTGGGAGAGGCAAGCAGACTAAGGAGGGCTGAGGTCAGAACAGCTCCATCTCATGTGCAAGACCACCCAGCAGAATAGACCAAACAGAGGAAAGAATCCCAGAGCTTGAAAACTGGCTTTCTGAAATAAAACAGGCAGACAAAAATGGAGGAAAAGGAATGAACAAAACATCTGAGAAATATGGGATTATATAAACGACCAAATCTATGACTGATTAATGTACCTGAAAGAGATGAGGAGAATGGAACCAATTTGGAAAACATACTTCAGAATATCCTTCATGAGAATGTCCGAAACCTAGCCAGACAGGCCAACATTCAAATTCAGGAAATCCAGAGGACTTCAGTAAGATATGCCACGAGTAGATCATCCCCAAGACATATAATCATCAGATTCTCCAAGGTCAAAATGAAAGAAACAATGTTAAAGGCCGCTAGAGAGTTAAAATGGTTAAAATGAGAGCTAGAGAGTTAAATGGTTAAAAAAAAAGAAAAGAAATTTCAACCCAGAATTTCATGTCCAGCAAAATTAAGCATCATAAGTGAAGGAGAAACAAGACCCTTTTCAGACAAGCAAATGCTGGGAGAATTCATTATCACCAGTTCTACCTTACAAGTGCTCCTGAATGAAGCACTAAATATGGAAAGAAAAGACCATCACCAGCCACTACAAAAATGCACCGAAGTACACAGACCAGTGATGCTAAAAACCAACCACATACACAAGTCTGTAAAATAACCAGCTGACAGCATGACGACAGGATCCAATCCACACATACCATTACTAACCTTAAATGGAAATGGGCTAAATGCTCTGATTGAAAGACGCAGGGGGACAAGATGGATAAAGAACCAAGACCCATTTGAGTATGCCGTCTCCAAGAAACCCATCTCACATGCGGTGCCATACATAGGCTCAAAATAAAGGAATGGAGAAAAATCTTTCAAGCAAACGGAAAACAGAAAAAAGCAGGTGTTGCACTCCTAGTTTCGACAAAACGTATATACCAATAAAGATAAAAAAAAGACAGAGAAAGACATACAAAGGTGGTCCTGACCTTTGATAAATCTCATTATTGCTTGATACCAACCTGGGCTATCTTTATTGCCCAAATCAACAGGATAATTTGCTGAAGTTGTGGAGATTCTCCCCTGCAGAGGTTCCCTGATCTCCCAAAATCTGGTTGAGAACTAAGGTTGATTTTGCTGTACAACTCCTTTTCTGAAGTTTTACTCATTTCCAACAAAGAAGGCAAGTTTTCCTGCTTCCATGATGATGGAGAGCAGGCACCTCCTTTCCTGAGTTTCAGCTTGCTTCTGACGGGGAAGGTGAGTGTAAGTTTTTTCCAGCTTCTAAGATGGCAGAGAACGACCACCAGCCTGAGCCTTATTTCCAGGTAAGTAGCTGAATTAGAGTTTTGTCTTAAAATTCTTCCTTAATGAATAAAATTTAAGATTACTCACCAGCTGCTTTTAATTTCTGCTTTTAATTTCTCCTTACCATTAGAACACTCAGTAATCATATGAATTGTGCATTTGTTGTTTTGCTTAACTCTTTGTTTGTTTATGCTTGGGGTTTTATTGTTGTTGTTTCACTTTTCTCCCATCTCTTCCTGACTTGGTCAAATCCAAAGGAATGTTCCAAATTGTGGGGAGCAAGGCATCTGAACTGGCTAAAATTCCTATGGCTGCAAAAAAACAAACAAATAAACAACAACAAAAAGCATTCCAGTTAGCAGAAATTATTTTTTAAACCTTTTTTTTTTTACGTAAGTGGTCTCATCTACATAAAAAGGTCACCCTTTTGCTAGCCAAGGCCAAACTGAAGGAGTAGCTGTGGTGACCCAATGTGAAGATTCTGCCCTGTTCACTACAGAAACCTGAGTTTGGTTCCTAAGTCTAGTTCTTTCTGTTTGATATTTGTGTTACTTTTAAAACGTCAGCAGTTTGTCCCAGCTATGATGTGGTAGTAAAAGATTCAAAAGGGTTTTCTTTACAAGTTCTATGATTAAAAGCTTAATTAAAAACAAATTTCTTTTTTTTTTTAATTATACTTTAAGTTCTGGGGTACATGTGCAGAACATGCAGGTTTGTTACATAGGTATACACATGCCATGGTGGCTTGCTGCATCCATCAACCCATGATCTACATTAGTTATTTCTCCTAATGCCATCCCTCTCCTAGCCCCCCACGCTGACAGGCCCTGGTGTGTGATGTTCCCCTTCCTGTGTCCATGTGTTCCCATTGTTCAACTCCAAGTTATGAGTGAGAACATGTGGTGTTTGGTTTTCTGTTCTTGTGTTAGTTTGCTGAGAATGATGCTTTCCAGCTTCATTCATGTCCCAGCAAAGGACGTGGATTCATCCTTTTTTATGGCTACATAGTATTCCATGGTGTATATATGCCACATTTACTTTATCCAGTCTATCATTGGTGGGCATTTGGGTTGGTTCCAAGTCGTTGGTTTTGTGAAAAGTGCCGCCATAAACAGACAGGTGCATGTGTCTTTATATTAGAATGATTTATAATTTTGGGGGTATATACCCAGTAATGGGATTGCTGGGTCAAATGATATTTCTAGTTGTAGATCCTTGAGGAATTGTCACACTGTCTTCCACAATGGTTGAACTAATTTATATTCACACCAACTGTGTAAGAGCATTCCTATTTCTCCACATCCTGTCCAGCATCTGTTGTTCCCTGATTTTTTAACGATAGACATTCTAAGTGCTGTGAGATTGTATCTCATTGTGGTTTTGATTTCTATTTCTCTAATGACCAGTGATGATGTGCTTTGCTTCACATGTTCGTTGGCTGTATAAATGTCTTCTTTGGTAAGTGTCTGTTCATATCCTTTGTCCACTTTTTGATGGGGTTGTTTGTTTTTTTTCTTGTAAGTTTGTTCTTTGTAGATTCTGCATATTAGCCCTTTGTCAGATGGATAGATTGTAACAATTTTCTCCCATTCTGTGGGTTGCCTGTTCACTCTGATAATAGTTTCTTTTGCACTGCAGATACTGTTTAGTTTAGTTAGATCCCATTTGTCAATTTTGGCTTTTGTTGCCATTGCTTTTTGTGTTCTGGTGATGAAGTCTCTGCCCATGGCTCTGTCCTGAATGGTATTGCTTAACACAAGGACATTTCTGTGCCTGAGTGCTATACCACCCAAAGTAATTTATAGATTCATTGCTATCCTCATTAAGCTACCATTGACTTTCTTCATAGAATTAGAAAAACTACTTTAAATTTCATATGGAACCAAAAAAGAGCCCACATAGCCAAGACAATCCTAAGCAAAAACAACAAAGCTAGAGGCATCACAGTACCTGACTTCAAATTATTCTACAAGGCTACAGTAACCAAAACAGCATGGGGCTGGTACCAAATCAGATCTATAGACCAATGGAACAGAACAGAGGCCTCAGAAATGACACCACACATCTAAAACCATCTGATCTTTGACAAACCTGACAAAAACAAGCAATGGGTAAAGGATACCCTATTTAATAAGTGATCTTGGGAAAACTGGCTAGTCTTATGCAGAAAACTGAAACTGGGCCACACCCATACACCTTAAACAAAAATTAAGTAATATGGATAAAAGAGTTAAATGCAAGACCTACAACAATAAAAAATCTAGAAGAAACCTAGGCCACCAACCTCAGGGGAAATGTACCTGTAGTGAAATGCATGGTACAAACACGCATTCCCTGCTTCCTTGAGTGGGTGACATTGATGGCTAGTCCAATCACTCCAGGCACACCCTTACAAACGTGGCTGGTTCCTTTTTGAGCCAGCTTGGCTTTGCCCAGCATGCACAAGTCAGTGCAACAACTGTGACACAAATGGAGCCATACAGAGAAAATGAGCAGCAGGCTCAGGAGCAGGGTGTGTGCTGCCTTGGGGGCTCCAGTCCATGCCTCAGGGCTCATATGGCACTGCGGGCTTCTTGGCTGCAAAGAGGCTGACCACAGGCCATCTTCAGGAGGACTTTATGTTGAAGTGCAGAAAACAGCCAGGATTACCACCCGTGGGACTCGGCCTTTTGTGACCCTGGCCTGACAGAGTTTGGCCCAAGGCAGGGCAAGCTCACTCAGAGCAACGTGTCAGTACCTGGGGCCTGTGCATGCCAGTCAAGGCCAAGCTGGCTCAAAGAGCAACCAGCCACCTCTGCAAGGGTGTGCCTGGAGCAGGTGGACCAGCCACCAACCTCACCCACTGAAGGAAGCCAGGATGGCCAGGTTTCCACAGCCTGAGTGGCTGCCTCCTGATGGCTGATGGAGCAGAGGCCTGAGGAAAAGCAGGTGGCATGTTTAACTCTTTAATCTATCTTAAGTTAATTTTTGTATAAAGCAGATGGCACCAGTCCATGCCTTGGGGTTCATATGGCACTGTGGGCCACAGAAGGCTGAGTCCCCTGGGTGGTAATCCTGCCTGCTTTCTGCACTTGAACATAAAGTCCTCCTCAAGACGGCCTGTGGTCTACTTCTCTGCCCCACCTTTAGGGTAGAAGAACTGATGTACCACGTCTGACAGTGAGTGAGGTTGACGGCTGATCCACCTGCTCCTGGCACACCTTGCAGAGGTGGCTGCTTGCTCTTTGAGCCAGCTTGGCCTTGCCTGGCATGCACAAGCCTCACTGCAACAAGTGTATAACAAATGGAGCCATAAAGAGGAAATGATCAGCAGGCTCAGGAATGGGGTGTGCACTGCCTTTGTGGCTCCAGTCCATGCCTCAGGGCTTGTATGGCACTGTAGGCTTCTTGGTCGCCAAGAGGCAGACCACAGACGGTCTTGAGGAGGACTTTATGTTCAAGTGCTGAAAGCAGCCAGGATTAGCACCCAGGGAACTCGGCCTTCTGTGGCCCTGGCCAGAGGTAGAATTTGGCCCAACACACTACAAGCTGACTTGGAACAGCATATAGGTAGCTGGGGCCTGTGCATGCCAGGCAAGGCCAAGCTGGATCAAAGAGCAAGGAGCCACCTCTGCAAGGGTGTGCCTGGAGCAGGTGGAGCAACCACCAACCTCACCCACTCAAGGAAGCAGGGATGGCCAGATTCCTACAGCCTGAGGGGCTGCCTCCTGATGGCTGATGGAGCAGAGGCCTGAGGAAAAGCAGATAGCACTGTGGCCCTACCTGTAGGGTAGAAGAACTGATGTACCCTGACCGGCAGCAAGTCAGGTTGGTGGCTGGTCCACCAGCTCCAGGCACACCCTTGCAGAGGTGGCCGGTTGCTTTTTGAGCCAGCTTGGCCTTCCACAGCATGCACTAGTCATTGCAACAACTGTGACACAAATGGAGCCACACAGAGAAAATGAGCAGCACGCTCAGGAGCAGGGTGTGCGCTGCCTTGGGGGCTCCAGTCCATGCCTCAGGGCTCATGTGGCACTGCGGGCTTCTTGGTTGCAAAGAGGCAGACCACAGGCCATCTTCAGGAGGCTTTTATGTTGAAGTGCAGAAAGCAGCCAGGATTACCACCCGTGAGACTCGGCCTTTTGTGGCCCTGGCCTGACAGAATTTGGCCCAAGGCAGGACAAGTTCACTCGGAGCAACGTGTCTGTACCTGGGGCCTGTGCATGCCAGGCAAGGCCAAGCTGGCTCAAAGAACAACCAGAGCATCCATTCTGGTGGATGAGCCAACCACATGGCCAGCTTCTGGGTGTGGGCACAGTGCCACATCTTCCATCACTTTCTGATATATCCCACCACCACTGAAGAGACAGCCTGGAGAGAGTGCAAGAGGAAGGCTGAGAAGGATGAGATAGTGAGTGCTGGCTTCTTTCTGACCCTCAGCACACCCCCACGTGGTGACCATCAACCTTTAGGGGTGGGAGAGCAAGATTGATGGCTTCAAATACTTCCCCAAGAAGATGGACACAGGCCACTCAGCTCAACCTCACAGCCAATGAGTTGACATGCAAGCAGATTACAGTGACAGGCTTTTAGAAAGAGCTTCAGAAGGCGGCCAGTTTTTCTTCAGCCTCAGCCAGGCCTTGGAACTTGACTAGGCCATCCACTTCACCAGAGATGCCTTCAAGAACATCAGTGAGCTCCTTGCCAATCCGTCCAGGAAGGACCTGGACCCAGCCACGGACCTGTTAGTGCTGTCTCAGGGACACCAGACCAACATCCTGGACATCATCCTCATACACAAGGAAGCTCTTACCACAGTCATGGAGAACAGGCAACATGTGGCAGAAGGGAAGACACAGGTACAGAGGCTGATGGCATCATTATCACAGGAACAGGATTTCTTTGGCCACTTTGGCTGAAATTCACCACTTCCATCCAATCCACTCAAGCGAGAGACTTGAAATCACAGATGGAGCATTTCTTGCAACAGGAGATACTATTTTTTCAAAAAGTCACCTAAAATTTGATAGTGTTGGATGACTAGCTATTAGATTGTGGACTTTTTCCAGTTCACGGGTACTTTCTACAGCAGAATGATAACAATATCAAAGAGCTAGTGCCAGCTATCGGTGGTAGTACAAGGATGACTTTGTGCTCAACTGAAACCCAGCTGAATATAGAATTGTGTAGGAAAGTGTTAATATGGTGATAGAATAGAAACAGTAGCAAATGAACTAAATCATACTATGAATGCCTACACTACCATTATAACTTTTTGAAGAATGATAATACCACTTACTTTATTGCCTTTTGAAGTAGGAATATTTTAGTGGATATGCTATAGACCTGAAACCATATAAAGAATCCCAAAGAAGCTGGCTGGATAAAGCCTGCTATGGATGTCTTTATACACAAAGACTGATGAGGCAATTCGAATATGTGTCCCCACCAAATCTCATGTTGAGTTATGCTTCCTAATGTTGGAGGTGGATCCTGGTATAAGGTGATTGAATCATGAAGGCAAATTTCTCATGAGTGGTTCAGCACTATCCCCTTGGTACTGTCCTCACAATCATGAGTGACTTGTCGTGAGATCTGGCCACTGAAAACTCTATATCACTCCCTACTCTCCGTGATTTCCTCTTGCCATGTGAGACAATTCACCCTTTCATTACCTTGCACAATGATTGAAAGATTTCTGAGGCCCCCCAGAAGCAGAAGCACTAAGCTTCCTGTCCACTCTGCAGAACCATGAGCCAATTAAACCTCTTTTTCAAAATAAATCTTACCAAAAATGGCAAATGAGGACTGGAGCATTGCTATAAAGATACCTGAAAATGTGGAAGCAACTTCGGAACTGGGTAATGGGTAGAGGTTGGAAGAGTTTGGAGGGCTCCAAAGAAGACAGACAGATGAGAACATTTTTGGACTATCTTAGAGACTGGTTAAATGGTTGTGACAAGAATTCTGACGAAAACATGGACAGTGAAGGCCAGGCTGAGGGGGCCTCAGATAAAAATAAGAAGCTTTCTGGAAAATGTCTCCCTTTTGGATATGGAAAGCTTACACAATGTCTGTACCATCATTGTACCTTAGACACAGTGAACTTGCTTTTTATTTCAGAGACTCGTAGGCAAAAGAGAATGTAGCCTTGACCCAGATGAGACTTTGGACTTTGTAACTTTGAGTTAATGCTGAAATGAGTTAAGACTTTGGGAAACTGCTGGCAAGGCATGACTGTATTTTGCAATGTGAGAAGGACATGAGATTTGTGGGGTCAGGGACAGAATAATACGGTTTTTCTCTATGCCCCTTCCAAAACTCATGTGAAAGTACACTCCCTAATGTTAGAGTCGGGGCCTAGGTGGAAAAAGCTTTAATCATAAAGGAGTGGGAGTGGATCCTTCACAAATGGCAAAGCACCAAGCCCTTAATGCCATCCTCCTGACAGTGAGTGAGTTCTCATGAGATCTAGTAGTTTAAAAGGCTGTGGAACCTCTTTCCTCTGTCTTGTTCCAACTTCTGCCATATGAAACATGTCATTGCCGCTTGGATTTCCGGTGTGGTTAGGAGGGGCCTGATCAGTGTGGGCCTGGTCAGTGGACCTAGGTCTGTGAGGACTATTTAGTGGGATCGTGGTCAGCAGGGGTCTGCTTAGAGAGGGTCTCATTAGTGGGGTCTAGTAGTGGGGGTTTTGGTGAGTGGGGACCTATTGGCTGCCAGTTGTTTGGTGTCTGGTCAGTGCAAACCTGGGCTGTGGGGCTTGATCAGTGGAGACCTGGTCAGCTGGGGCTTAGTGCTGGCCTGGTCAGCATGGGCTGCGGCACCGGTGACAAGGTCAAGGGGTGCTATTCAGTGGAGGACTGGGCACATGGGACCTAGTCAGCAGACCCTGGTGGGCGTGTCCTCATCAGTGAGGCCCTTGTCAGTGGGGCCCTGGTCAGGGCAGCCTTGTCAGCGGGACCTAATCTGTAGCGTCCTGGTCAGAGAGGACTTGGTCAGTGGTGACTTTTGTAGCACTGTTCTACAGGGTGACCTGGTCAGCGGGGATCTCAGCATTTGGTTCCAGTTCAGTGGGGTCTACTCACTAGGGTCCCAGTCAGGGGCATCTGGTGACCTTAGTCCTGGTTATTAGGGGCCTGATCGGTGGCAACCTGTTCCCTGGAGGCCTGGTCAGTGGGGCCTCATCTTTGGGGCCAGGGAATGAGGTCATGATCAGTGGAACCTGATCAGTGAGGCCTTGTCAATAATGACCTAGTCAGTGAGGACTTGTCAGTAAGGACTTGGTCCGTGAGGCCTTGTCAGTGAGGCCTTGTCAGTAAGGTCCTGGTCAGTGGAGTCCTTGTCATTGTGTGCCTGGCAGTGGGGGCCTTGTTAGTGGGGCCTGGTCATGAGGGTCTAATCAGTGAGGGTGTCATCAGGGAGGACCTGATGTGCGGGGTCTGGTCAGCAGGGACCTGGTCAATGTGGGCTGCTGAGCACTGCTTGGATAAGCCAGGTGCAATGTGCATTATTTAAGGCCCTGTGGACAGCTGCGATAGCCCAGTGATGCCCAAGGGCCTAGTCGAAAGTGGACAAAGCACATGTTTGGATGGACCTGGGAGATCCTGCTCAGAGATTCTGAGAGGACAAAGGTAAAGGAAGGGCCAGAGTGGCTGCAGAGATGGTCACAGTCTATGGGCTGCACAGGATGAAGGAGGCCAGGGAACAGGCAGGGTGGGTAGTTGGGGTTCAGGGAGAGGCAGGTGCATGCTGGGAGGTCAGACCCTGTGAAGGCTTTGGGGGCGTCAGTTTGGGTAGGCTCCAGGCACTCTCACTCACATAGGATTCCAGAACACTGCTACAAGGCTCTGAGTGTTTGTCCCTCACGTAGGATTCCAGAACACTGCTGCCATTGTCTGAATGTTTGTCCCCCACATAGGATTCCAGAAGCCTGCTGCTGGGGTCTGAATGTTTGTCCCCCATCTAGGATTCCAGAACACTGTTGCGAGGGTCTGAATGTCTGTCCCTCACATATGATTCTAGAACATTGATGCTAGGGTCTGTATGTTTGCCCTTAACATATGATTTCAAAACACTGCTCCTGGATTCTGAATGTTTGTCCTTCACATAGGAATACAGAACTCTGCTGCTGGAGTCTGAATGGTTGTCACTCACATAGAATTCCAGAACACTGCTGTGAGGATCTGAATGCTTGACCCTCACATGGGATTCCAGAACACTGTTGCGAGGGTCTAAATGTCTGTCCCTCACACAGGTTTCCCGAACAATGTTACGAGGTTCTGAATGTTTGTCCCTAACGTAGGATTCCAGAGCACTCCTGCTGTGCTCTGAATGCTTCTCCCTCACATAGGATTCCAGAACACTGCTACGAGGGTCTGAATGCTTATCCCTCATATAGGATTCCAGAACACTTCTGCTGTGGTCTGAATGTTTGCTCCTCACATAGGATTCCAGAATACTCCTGCCGTGGTCTGAATGTTTGTCCCTCACATAGGATTCCAGAACATTCATGCTGGGGTCTCAATGTTTCCCTTAACATAGGATTTCAGAACACTGCTCTTGGGGTCTGAATGTTTGTCACTCACATAGGATTACAGAACACTGTTGCTGGAGTCTGAATGTTTGTCAGTCACATAGAATTCCAGAACACTGCTACAAGGGTGTGAATATTTCTCCCTCACCTAGTATTCCAGAACACTGTTGCAAGGGTCTGAATGTTGGTCCGTCATATAGGATTCCAGAACACTGATGCTGTGGTCTGAATGTTTGTCCCTCACATAGAATTCCGGAACACTGCTACAAGGGTCTGAATGTTTGTCCTTCACATACCATTCCAGAACACTGCTGCCGTGGTCTGAATGTATGTCCCTCACATAGGATTCCAGAACACTGCTACTAGGTTCTGAATGTTTTTCCCACACCTAGGATTCCAGAACACTTCTGCTGGTGTCTGAATGGTTGTTCCTCAGATATGATTCCAGGACACTGCTATGAGAGTCTTAATGTTTGTCCTTCACGTAGGATTCTAGAACACTGCTCCCGTGGTCTGAATGTTTGTCCTTCACATAGCATTCCAGAACACTGCTGCTGGGGTCTGAATGTCTGCCTCTCAAATCAGATTCCAGAACACTGCTGCTGGGGTTTGAATGTCTTTCCCTCACATAGAATTCCAGAACATGGCTGGGAGGGTCTGAATGTTTGTCCCTCACATGGGATACCAGAACACTGCTGCGAGGGTTTAAATGTCTCTCCCTCACATAAGATTTCAGGACACTGCTGCGAGGTTCTGAATGTTTGTCCCTCACATAGGATTCCACAGCACTCCTGCTGTGGTCTGAATATTTGTCCCTCACATAGGATTCCAGAACACTGCCACGTGGGTCTGAATGTTTGCCCTCACATAGGATTCCAGAACACTCCTGCTGTGGTCTGAATGTTTGACCCTCACATAGGATTCCAGAACACTCCTGCTGTGGTCTGAAAGTTTGCTCACCACATAGGACTCCAGAACACTGCTAAGAGGGTATGAATGTCCCTCACATTGTATTCCAGAGCACTCCTTCTGTGGTCTGAATGTTTGTTCCTCACATAGGATTCGAGAACACTCCTGCTGTGGTCTGAATGTTTGTCCCTTACCTAGGATTCGAGAACATTCACACTGGGATGTAAATGCTTGCCCTTAACATAGGATTTCAGAACACTGCTCCTGGGGTCTGAAAGTTTGTCCCTCACATAGGATTCCAGAACTCTCCTGCTGTGGTCTGAAAGTTTGTTCATCACATAGGACTCCAGAACACTGCTAAGAGGGTATGAATGTCCCTCACATAGTATTCCAGAACACTCCTTCTGTGGTCTGAATATTTGTTCCTCACATAGGATTCGAGAACACTCCTGCTGTGGTCTGAATGTTTGTCCGTTACCTAGGATTTGAGAACATTCATGCTGGGATGTAAATGCTTGCCCTTAACATAGGATTTCAGAACACTGCTCCTGGGGTCTGAAAGTTTGTCCCTCACATAGGATCCCAGAACTCTCCTGCTGTGGTCTGAAAGTTTGTACCGCACATAGGATTCCAGAGCACTGCTGCTGTGGTCGGGATGTTTTTCTGTCACATAGGATTTCAGAACACTGCGGCTGGGTTCTGAATGTTTCTCCCTCACATAGGATTTCAGAACACTGCTACGAGGGTCTGATTGTTGGTCCCTCACATAGGATTCCTGAACACTGCTGCTGGTCTCTGAATGTTTGTCCCTCACATTGGATTGCAGAACACTGCTGCTATGGTCTGAACGTTTGTCCGTCACATAGGATTCCAGAACGTTCCTGCTGTGGTCTGAATGTTTGTCTGTCACATAGGATTCCAGAACACTGCGGCTGGGGTCTGAATGTCCCTGACATAGGATTCCAGAACATTGCTATGAGGGTCTGAATGGTTGTCTTTCACATAGCATTCCAGAACACTGCTACGAGGGTCTGAATGTTGGTCCCTCACACAGGATTCCAGAACCCTCCTGCTGGGGTCTGAATGTTTGTCCCTCACAAAGGATTCCAGAACACTGCAATGAGGGTCTGAATATTTGTCCCTCACATAGGATTCCAGAACACACCTGCTGTGGTCTGAATGGTTGTACCTCACAAAGGATTCCAGAACACTCCTGCTGTGATCTGAATGGTTGTCCCTCACATAAGATTCCGGAACACTTCTGCTGTGGTACGAATGTTTGTGTCTCACGTAGGATTCCAGAACACTGCTACGAGGGTCTCAATGTTTGTCCCTCACATAAGATTCCAGAACACTGCTGCTGGGGTCTGAATGCTTGTCCCTCACATACGATTACAGAACACTGTTGGTGAGGAGTGAATGTTTGTCCCTCACATAGGATACCAGACCACTGCTGTTGGGGTCTCAATGTCTGTCCCTCAAAAAGCATTCCAGAACACTGTTACGAGGGTCTGAATTTTTGTCCCTCACTTAAGACTGCAGAACACTGCTTCGAGGGTCTAAATGTCTGTCCTTCACATAGGATTCCAGAACACTGCTACGAGGGTCTGAATGTTTGTCCTTCACATAGCATTTCAGAACTGCCATGGTCTGAATGGTTGTCCCTCACATAGTATTCCAGAACACTGCTATGAGGGTCTGAATGTTTGTACCTCATATAGGATTCCAGAACACTGCTATGAGGGTCTGAATGCTTATCCCTCATATAGGATTCCAGAACACTTCTGCTGTGGTCTGAATGTTTGCTCCTCACATAGGATTCCAGAATACTCCTGCCGTGGTCTGAATGTTTGTCCCTCACATAGGATTCCAGAACATTCATGCTGGGGTCTCAATGTTTCCCTTAACATAGGATTTCAGAACACTGCTCTTGGGGTCTGAATGTTTGTCACTCACATAGGATTACAGAACACTGTTGCTGGAGTCTGAATGTTTGTCAGTCACATAGAATTCCAGAACACTGCTACAAGGGTGTGAATATTTCTCCCTCACCTAGTATTCCAGAACACTGTTGCAAGGGTCTGAATGTTGGTCCGTCATATAGGATTCCAGAACACTGATGCTGTGGTCTGAATGTTTGTCCCTCACATAGAATTCCGGAACACTGCTACAAGGGTCTGAATGTTTGTCCTTCACATACCATTCCAGAACACTGCTGCCGTGGTCTGAATGTATGTCCCTCACATAGGATTCCAGAACACTGCTACTAGGTTCTGAATGTTTTTCCCACACCTAGGATTCCAGAACACTTCTGCTGGTGTCTGAATGGTTGTTCCTCAGATATGATTCCAGGACACTGCTATGAGAGTCTTAATGTTTGTCCTTCACGTAGGATTCTAGAACACTGCTCCCGTGGTCTGAATGTTTGTCCTTCACATAGCATTCCAGAACACTGCTGCTGGGGTCTGAATGTCTGCCTCTCAAATCAGATTCCAGAACACTGCTGCTGGGGTTTGAATGTCTTTCCCTCACATAGAATTCCAGAACATGGCTGGGAGGGTCTGAATGTTTGTCCCTCACATGGGATACCAGAACACTGCTGCGAGGGTTTAAATGTCTCTCCCTCACATAAGATTTCAGGACACTGCTGCGAGGTTCTGAATGTTTGTCCCTCACATAGGATTCCACAGCACTCCTGCTGTGGTCTGAATATTTGTCCCTCACATAGGATTCCAGAACACTGCCACGTGGGTCTGAATGTTTGCCCTCACATAGGATTCCAGAACACTCCTGCTGTGGTCTGAATGTTTGACCCTCACATAGGATTCCAGAACACTCCTGCTGTGGTCTGAAAGTTTGCTCACCACATAGGACTCCAGAACACTGCTAAGAGGGTATGAATGTCCCTCACATTGTATTCCAGAGCACTCCTTCTGTGGTCTGAATGTTTGTTCCTCACATAGGATTCGAGAACACTCCTGCTGTGGTCTGAATGTTTGTCCCTTACCTAGGATTCGAGAACATTCACACTGGGATGTAAATGCTTGCCCTTAACATAGGATTTCAGAACACTGCTCCTGGGGTCTGAAAGTTTGTCCCTCACATAGGATTCCAGAACTCTCCTGCTGTGGTCTGAAAGTTTGTTCATCACATAGGACTCCAGAACACTGCTAAGAGGGTATGAATGTCCCTCACATAGTATTCCAGAACACTCCTTCTGTGGTCTGAATATTTGTTCCTCACATAGGATTCGAGAACACTCCTGCTGTGGTCTGAATGTTTGTCCGTTACCTAGGATTTGAGAACATTCATGCTGGGATGTAAATGCTTGCCCTTAACATAGGATTTCAGAACACTGCTCCTGGGGTCTGAAAGTTTGTCCCTCACATAGGATCCCAGAACTCTCCTGCTGTGGTCTGAAAGTTTGTACCGCACATAGGATTCCAGAGCACTGCTGCTGTGGTCGGGATGTTTTTCTGTCACATAGGATTTCAGAACACTGCGGCTGGGTTCTGAATGTTTCTCCCTCACATAGGATTTCAGAACACTGCTACGAGGGTCTGATTGTTGGTCCCTCACATAGGATTCCTGAACACTGCTGCTGGTCTCTGAATGTTTGTCCCTCACATTGGATTGCAGAACACTGCTGCTATGGTCTGAACGTTTGTCCGTCACATAGGATTCCAGAACGTTCCTGCTGTGGTCTGAATGTTTGTCTGTCACATAGGATTCCAGAACACTGCGGCTGGGGTCTGAATGTCCCTGACATAGGATTCCAGAACATTGCTATGAGGGTCTGAATGGTTGTCTTTCACATAGCATTCCAGAACACTGCTACGAGGGTCTGAATGTTGGTCCCTCACACAGGATTCCAGAACCCTCCTGCTGGGGTCTGAATGTTTGTCCCTCACAAAGGATTCCAGAACACTGCAATGAGGGTCTGAATATTTGTCCCTCACATAGGATTCCAGAACACACCTGCTGTGGTCTGAATGGTTGTACCTCACAAAGGATTCCAGAACACTCCTGCTGTGATCTGAATGGTTGTCCCTCACATAAGATTCCGGAACACTTCTGCTGTGGTACGAATGTTTGTGTCTCACGTAGGATTCCAGAACACTGCTACGAGGGTCTCAATGTTTGTCCCTCACATAAGATTCCAGAACACTGCTGCTGGGGTCTGAATGCTTGTCCCTCACATACGATTACAGAACACTGTTGGTGAGGAGTGAATGTTTGTCCCTCACATAGGATACCAGACCACTGCTGTTGGGGTCTCAATGTCTGTCCCTCAAAAAGCATTCCAGAACACTGTTACGAGGGTCTGAATTTTTGTCCCTCACTTAAGACTGCAGAACACTGCTTCGAGGGTCTAAATGTCTGTCCTTCACATAGGATTCCAGAACACTGCTACGAGGGTCTGAATGTTTGTCCTTCACATAGCATTTCAGAACTGCCATGGTCTGAATGGTTGTCCCTCACATAGTATTCCAGAACACTGCTATGAGGGTCTGAATGTTTGTACCTCATATAGGATTCCAGAACACTGCTATGAGGGTCTGAAAGTTTGTCCCTCACATAGGATTCCAGAAGACTGCTGCTGGGGTCTGAATGTCTGTACCTCACATCGGATTCCAGAACACTGCTGCTGGGGTTTCAATGTCTGTCCCTCACATAGAATTCCAGAAGACTGCTGGGAGAGTCTGAATGTTTGTCCCTCACATAGGATTCCAGAACACTGCTATGAGGGTCTGAATGTTTGTCCTTCACATAGGATTCCAGAACACTCCTTCTGGGGTCTGAATGTTTGTCCCTCACATAGGATTCCAGAGCACTCCTGCTGTGGTCTCAATGTTTGTTAATCACATAGGATTCCAGAACACTGCTACAAGGGTCTGAATGTTTGTCCCTCACATAGGATTCCAGAATACTCCTGCTATGGTCTCAATGCTTGTCCCTCACATAGGATTCCAGAACATTCATGTTGGGGTCTGAATGTTTGCCCTTATCATAGGATTTCAGAACAGTGCTCCTGGGGTCTGAATGTTTGTCCTTCATATAGGATTAAAGAACACTCCTGTTTTGGTCTGAAAGTTTGTCCCTCACATAGGATTCCAGAACTCTCCTGCTGTGGTCTGAAAGTTTGTCCTTCACATAGGATTCCAGAACACTGCTGCTGTGGTTTGAATGTTTGTCCCTCACATAAGATTCCAGAACACTGCTACTAGGGTCTGAATGTTTGTCCCTCACATAGGATTCCTGAGCATTGTTGCCGTGGTCTGAATTTTTGCCACTCACATAGGATTCCAGAACAGTGCTACGAGGGTCTGAATGTTTGTCCCTCACATAGGATTCCAGAACACTTCTGCTGGTATCTGAATGTTTGTACCTCACATAGGATTCCAGAACACTGCTGCTGGGGTCTGAACGTCTGTCCCTCACATAGGATTCTAGAACACTGCTGTTGGGGTTTGAATGTCCCTCACATAGAATTCCAGAACACTGCTGCGAGTGTCTAAATGTTTGTCCTGCAGATGGGATTCTAGAACACTGCTGCGAGGGTCTAAATGTCTGTCCCTGACATAACATTCCAGCACACTGCTACGAGGTTTTGAAATGTTTGCCCCTCACATAGGATTCCAGAACACTCCTGCTGTGGTCTGAATGTTTGCCCCTCACATAGGATTCCAGAACATTCCTGCCGTGGTCTGATTGTTCCTCACATAGGATTCCAGAACACTGCTACGAGGTTCTGAATTTTTGTCCCTCACATAGGATTGCAGAACACTGCTACAAGGGTTTGAAAGTTTTTCCCTCACAAAGGATTCCACAACACTACTGCTGGGGTCTGAATGTTTGTCCCTCACATAGGATTCTGGAATACTCCAGCTGGCTTCTGAGTGTTTGTCCCTCACATAGGATTCCTGAAGACTGCTGCTGTCACTATAGTCGTTGTGAGTGTCTGAGTGTTTGTCCTTCACCAAACACTAAATATCCTGCCCCTTTAGTCTTGGACTTTCCAGCCTCCAGATCTGTGAGCAATAATCTCTGTTGTTTATGAATTACTCAGTCTAAAGTATTTTGTTATAGTAGCCTAAAAAGACTAAGAGAGCATCACCTGCCCTGTCACCTCATCACCGCATTACTAAAGCTATACTAACAGCAGTCACTTTTAGTGGGTGCTTCATTCATGAGAATAAAGGGAAAAAATTGCAAGGCATACTAAAATCCAAAAAAAGAAAAAAAATACAATTTGTGTCAACAGAGCAAGCTTCAGAAGCAGACAAAGATATGATTTTGGAATTTTTTTAAACCTCTGGAGAATATGCTAAGAGCCTAATGAATGAAGTAGACAGCATTCAAGTATAGATGGGTAATGTAATCAGAAAGACAGACATCGTAAGAACCTTCAACATAATGTAGTGGTAAAAAATGTGGTAAATAACTGAAGAATACCTCTGATGGCTTATTAGTAGACTGGACTCAGCTGAGTAAATAATCTCTGAGCTTGAGGATTTATCATCAGAAACTTCGAAAACTAAAGAAAAGAAACACTGAAAATAACAGAAGATGATATCCAAGACTGTGGGACAACTACACAAGGTGAAACAGAGTAATGAGAATACCAGGAGGTGAAGAAATAGAAGAAAGTTCTGCAACAACCATGTCTGAGAACTTCCAGTATTAATGTCAGACACCAAACCAAAGATCCAGGAAGCTCCGAGAACACCAGGCAGAATAAATGCCAACAACCTACACTTGGACATATAATTTTCAAACTCTATGAAATAAAAGATAAAGGGAAACTCTGAAAGAAACCAGAGGTGGGGCAGAAAACACCTTACCTACAGAGACACAAAGATAAGAACTGCATTCAACATTGCAGAAACTGTGAAAGCAAGAAGACAGTGAAATGAAAAATTCAAAATGTTGACAGAAAAAAACCCACCAACCTAAGTTTCTGTACCCACTGAAAACATCCTTCAAAAGTGAAGGAGAATTAAGGCCTTCCTCAGAAAAATAAAAATTCAAGAAACTTGTTGCCAGGAGACCTGTCTTGCAAGAAATGTTAAATGAAATTCTTTAGAGGGAAACAAAAGATATATAACTGAAACTTGGATCAACATTTTTTAAAAAAGAGCATTAAAGAATTGTGGTACAATAAAAACCTATGTATTTATTCTTAATTGATCTGACCAAGAAGTTCATAGACAATAACAAATACACACATATAGATTATCTATGCTTATACACAAGTTAAATGAGTAACACTAATACAAGGAATGGAATGGAAGGATGGGAGGGAAGAATTGTGGTACAATAAAAGCATGTATTTATTCATAATTGATCTGACCAATAAGTTTGTAGATAATAATAAATACACACAGATAGATTATGTATGCTTATACACAAGTGAAATAAGGAACAATACAAGGAATGGAATGGAAGGATGGGAGGGAGGAATCAGGTGTTTTCTTTGTTAAGCAGGTAGTCACCCGTGAAGTGGGATAGTGTTATCTGAAAGTGGACTTGAATTGGTTGTAAATGTATATTGAGGAATTAGGTGTGTTCTTTGTTAAGCAGGTAGTCTTATTTGTGGGATAGTGGGATAGTGTTATTTGAAAGTGGACTTGCATTGGTTGTAAATGTTACTGAGGAATTAGGTGTTTTGTTTGTTAAGCAGGTGGTCTTATTTGTGGGATAGTTGGATAGTGTTATTTGAAAGTGGACTTGAATTGGTTGTAAATGTATATTGCAAATTCTGTGGCAACTAGTTAAAAAAAGTTTTAAAAAGAGAAGTACATGCTAAGAAAGACAGGGAAAATGTAGTCATCTAAAATCATCAATGAAAACTGCAAAAGGCAGAAAAAGAGTGGTAGACAAAAGAATGGAGACTGAGGAGAATGAATAGAAAACAGTAACAAATATAGTAGATATTAATCCAATGATATCAATAATCACTTTGAATGCTAATGGTATGAATGTATCAATTCAAAGATAGAGATTGTCAGAGTCTATCAAAAGACAGACACATCTTGTTTCACTGCACTTTGCTTTATTGTGTTTTGTGACCATGTGTTTTACATATTGAAGGTTTGTGGCCACCCTGCAATAAGCAGGTCTGACTGGCACCATAGTTCCTACAGCACGTGCTCACTTCACGTCTCTGTGTCACATTTCGGTCATTCTCACAGTATTTTAAGCTTTTTATTATTGAATCTGTTGTGGTGATCTGTAATCAGTGATCTTTAATGCTACTGTTGTCATTGTTTTGGGAACCACAAATCACACCAGGATAAGACAGCAAACAATTGACAAATGCGTTTGTTCTGACTGCCCCACCCACGTGCCATTTCTCTTTCTCTCTCTTTTTCTCAGGCTTCTTTTTATTAATATTAAAATGTGGCCAATTAATAACCCTACAATAGCCTCTATAAGTTCAAGTGAAAGAAGAGTTGTATGTCTGTCACTTTAAACCAAAAGGAAGAAATAATTAAGGTTAGTGAGGAAGGCATGCTGTAAGCAAGACAGGCCAGTAGCTAGACCTCATGCAACAAACACTTAGCCAAGTTGTGAATGCAAAGGAAGTGTTCTGGAAAGAAATTTAAAGTACTACTCCAGTGAATACATGAATGATAAAAAGCTAAACAATCTTGCTGCTGTTATGAAGAAAGTTTAATTGATATAGATAGAAGATAAAAAAAATTCCATTAAGCCTAAGCCTAACTCTCTTTTTACTTTTTTCTTTGTTTTTGAGACAGAGTTTCATTTTTCTTGCCCAAGCTGGAGTACAATGGCGTGATCTTGGCTCATCGCAACCTCTGCCTCCCAAGTTCAAGCTCTCCTGCCTCAGCATCCCGAGTAGCTGGGATTACAGGCATGCACCACCACGCCTGGCTAATTTTTTGTATTTTTAGTAGAGACGGGGTTTCTCCACGTTGGTCAGACTGGTGTCGAACTCCCGACCTCAGGTGATCTGCCCGCCTCAGCCTCCCAAAGTGCTAGGATTACAGGTGTGACAGCCACTACACCCGGCCTCTCTTCAATTCTATGAAGACTTAGAGAGGTGAGGCAGCTGCAGAAGAAAAGTCTGAAGCTAGAAGAGCTTGTTTCTTGAGGTTTAAGGAAAAAAGTCATCTCCATAACATAAAAGCGCAAGATAAAGCAACAAGTACTGATGGAAAAGCTGCAGAAAGCTATCTAGAAGATAATTGATTAAGATGGCTACACTAAACAGATTTGCAATGGAGACAAAACAGCCTTCTATTAGAAGGAGATGCCATCCAGGATGTTCCCAGCTAGAGAGGAGTTGATGTCTGGATTTAAGGCTTCAAAGGACATGCTGAATCTTTTGTTAAGGCCTAATGCAGTTGGTGATGTTAACTTGAAACCAATGATGATTTACTATTCTGAAAATCCAAGGGCCCTGAAGAATTATGATAAAACACAGCTCTGCCTGTACTCTACAAATGGGAACAAAGCCTGGATGACAGACTATCGGTTTACAAATATGGTTTATTGAATATCTTAAGCCCACTGTCGACAACTACTGCTCAATAAATAAGATTCCTTTCAAAGTATTACCGCTCACTGACAATGCCCCTGGTACTCAAGGGCTTTTACAGAGATGTATAAAGAGCTGAATATTGTTTTCATGCCTACTAACCCAACATTCATTCTGGTGCCCTTGGATCAAAGAGTAATTTCAACTTTCAAGTCTTATCACTTAAAAAATATATTTCATAAAGCTATAGCTTCTCTAGAAAGTGATTCCTTTGATGGATCTGGGCAAAATAATTGAAAACCTACTGGAAAGGATTCACCATTCTAGATGCCATTGAGAACATTCATGATTTAAAAAAGAAGATCAAAATAGCAACATTAGGAGAAGTTGGGGCCGGGCTTGGTGGCTCACGCCTATAATCCCAGTACTTTGGGAGACCAAGGCATGTGGATCATGAGGTCAGGAATTTGAGACCAGCCTGGCCAACATAGTGAAATCCTGTCTATACTATAAACACAAAAAAAATTAGCTGGGCCTGGTCGGGGGTGACAGTAATCCCAAACACTTGGGAGGCTGAGGCAGGAGAATTGCTTGAACACGGGAGGTGGAGGTTGCAGTGAGCTGAGATCGCATCACTGCACTCCAGCCCAGGCAAGACTTCATCTCAAAAAAATAAAAGAAAGAGAGAGAAGTTGGGAAGATTATTCCAACCCTCACTGATGACACAGGGGTTCACGACTTCTGTGGAGGAAGTAACTGCAGATATGGTGGAAATAACAAGAGCACTAGAATCAGAGACAGAGCCTGAAGATCTGGCGAGACTGAAGCAGCCTCTGGAGAAAACGTGAGAGGATGAGTTGCTTCCACGGATGAGCAAAGAAAGTGGTTTCTTGAGATGAAATCTACTCGTGGTGAAGACAGTGTAAACAATGTTGAGATGACAACAGATTTAGAATAAACTTGGTACAGCAGAAGGAAGGCTTGACAGGATTGAACCCAATGATTTACAATAATACATAAACTTAGTTGGTACAGCAGTACGAAGTTTTGACAGCATTGAATCCAATTTTGAAAGTTCTACTGTGGGTAAAAAGCTATCATCTTATGCTACAGATAATATTTTTGTGAAAGGGACAGTCAATTGACACAGCAAACTTCAATGTTGTCTTATTTTAAGAAATTGCCACAGCCACCCCAACGCTCAGCAACCACCACCTTACATTAAGGTAAGACCCTCCATCAGCAAGAAGACTGAAACTTGGCCAGGTGCAGTGGCTCACACCTGCCATCCCAACACCTTGGGAGGCCAAGGTGGGTGGATTGCTTGAGCCCAGGACATCAAGGCAACATGGCAAAACCCCATCTCTACAAAAAAAAATACAAAAATTAGCTGGACACGGTGGCATGCACCTGTAGTCCCAGCTAGTCAGGAGTCTGAGGTGGGGGTTTGATTGAGCATGAGGTTGAGGCTGCAATTACTCCAGCCTGAGCCACAGAGTAAAACCCTGTCACACACACAAAAAAAGATTGCAGCTTTCTGAAGGCTCAGATGACTGTTAGCACTTGTTAACAATAAAGTATTTGTAAATTAAAGTGTGCATACTTTGTAGACATATGCTATTGCACACTTTATACAGCACAGTATAAACATACTTTTACATGCACTGGGAAACCAAAAGAAATTGTATAAAACTTTATTGCAGTGGTCTGGAACCAAACCCACATGTATCTCTGATGCATGGACGTCCTGTATTGTACACTTAAAAAAATACTTAAGAGGGTATATTTTATGTGAAATGGTCATCTCATTTTTTTTTTTGAGACGGAGTCACACTCTGTTGCCCAGGCTGGAGTGCAGTGGCACGATCTCGGCTCACTGCAAGCTCTGCCTCCCGAGTTCACACCATTATCCTGCCTCAGTCTCCCGAGTAGCTGGGACTACAGGTGCCCATCATCACACCTGGCTAATTTTCTGTATATTTAGTAGAAACGGGTTTCACTGTGTTAGCCAGGATGGTCTTGATCTCCTGACCTCGTGATCCACCTGCCTTGGCCTCCCAAAGTGCTGGGATTACAGGCGTGAGCCGCCACTCCCGGTCTCATTTTTTAAAAAGGGTGAGAATGAGAAATATATGGGGAGTGATTGTCAAGTTTACGGCATTATTTGTTGTGATGAGACCTGGGGCGAATACTTATCCCTATACTCATTAATATGTATATATTCGGTGTCACACGCCTTGTAATCCCAGCACTTTGGGAGGCCGAGGCAGGTGGATCATCTGAGGTCAGGGGTTCGAGACCAGCCTGGCCAACATGGTGAAACCCTGTCTCTACTAAAAAAATACAAAAATTAGGCTTGGGGGTGCACGCCTGTGATCCCAGCTACTCAGGAGGCTGAGGCAGGAGAATTGCTTGAACCCAGGAGGCGGAGGTTGCAGTTAGCTGAGATCGTGTCACTGCACTCCAGCCTGGGCAACAAGAGTAAAACCTCCGTAACACACACACACACACACACACACACACACACACACACACAAGGTATATATTAAATATTTGTAATTTTTGTGTTTCAACCACACCTTAGCTTTATTTTATTTTATTTTTTTGAGACAGACTCTCGCTCTGTCACCCAGGCTGGAGTCCAGTGGTGCAATCTCGGCTCACTGCAAGCTCCACCTCCCAGGTTCACACCATTCTCCTGCCTCAACCTCCGGAGTAGCTGGAACTACAGGCACCCACCACCACGCCCGGCTAATTTTTTGTATTTTTAGTAGAGATGGCGTTTCACCGTGTTAGCCCGGATGGTCTCGATCTCCTGACGTGATCTGCCTGCCTCAGCTTCCCAAAGTGCTGCGATTACAGGTGTGAGCCACCACGCCCAGACAATTTTTATTTTTCTGAGACAGAGCCTCACTCTGTCACCCAGGCTGGAGTGCAGTGGCACTATCTTGGCTCACTGCAACCTCTGCCTCCCATGTTCAAGCAATTCTCCTGCCTCAGTCTCCCGAGTAGCTGGGAATACAGATGCATGCTATCACGCCTGGCTAATTTTTTGATTTTTAATAGAGATGAGGTTTCACCATGTTGGCCAGGCTGGTCTCAAACTCCTGACCTCATGTGATCTGCCCACCTCAGCCTCCCAAAGTGCTGGGATTACAGGTGTAAGCCACTGCACCTGGCAATTTTTAAATATATATAATTAAAAATTAATAAAAAACAGGTATTTGCAAGTTTCTGTTTTGTTATATGCTTATTATTCTTTATCTTTATGTCACGTTGCTGTGTCAATACACTTAGGAGATCACAGTTTCTAAATTGAAATACAAATAAATATGTCTGAAATTTTTTTTTCTTTTTTTTTGAGACGGACTCTCATTCTGTCACCCAGGCTGGAGTGCAGTGGTGCAATCTCAGCTCACTGCAACCTCCGCCTCCCAGATTCAAGTGATTCTCCTGCCTCAGCCTCCAGAGTAGCTGGGATTACAGGCACCCGCCATGACACGCAGCTAACTTTTATATATTTTTTTTCTATTTTTAGTAAAGACAGGTTTCACCATGTTGGCCAGGGTGGTCTCCAACTCCTGACCTCAGATGATCCTCCCGCCTCGGCCTCCTCAAGTGCTGGGATTACAGGTGTGAGCCACTGTGCCTGGCCTGGAATTTTTTTCTAAAATTTACATTTCTGAGTTAAGAATGCTTAAAATATTATAAAAACAGAAGCACAATTCATTATGTGTTTCATTAATTACCTTTATTAAAAACAACACAATTATATTACAATAGGGCAAAAAATGTTTAAGCAAATGAAAACGAAACCATGACATACCCAAACTCAGGAGGAGGCAACAAAGGCAGTGCTAAAGGGAAGCTTACAGCTGCAGATGCTTAAATTAAAAAGAAGAAAGATCTCAAACCCATGCTAAAGGGAAGCTTACAGCTGCAGAACCTTAAATTAAAAAGAAGAAAGATCTCAAACCCGTGCTAAAGGGAAGTTTACAGCTGCACATGCTTAAATTAAAAAGAAGAAAGATCTCAAACCCTTGCTAAAGGGAAGCTTACAGCTGCAGATCCTTAAATTAAAAAGAAGAAAGATCTCAAACCCGTGCTAAAGGGAAGTTTACAGCTGCAGATGCTTAAATTAAAAAGAAGAAAGATCTCAAACCCTTGCTAAAGGGAAGCTTATAGCTGCCGGTGCTTAAATTAAAAAGAAGAAAGTTCTCAAATCAATAACCTAACATTACACCTGAAGAAGGAAAAAAAAAACTAATGACAAACCAAGCAAAAGGAAGAAAATAACAGATTAGAGCAGAGATAAGCAGAATAAGACCAGAAAAAAAGGAAAAAAAAACACTGAGTTTGTTTTTTTAAAGATCAATAAAAATTTTAAAACTCACAGCTATATTAAGAAAAAAAGAGAAATCTCAAATACTACAATCATAAATAAAAGAGTTGACAGTACAACACATGCCACAGAAATGAAAAAGATTACAAGACACTAATGTGAGCAACCATATGCCACAAAACTGGGCAACCTAGAATAAATTTATAAATTCCTAGAAACACAAACCACCATACTGCATCACGGAGAAATAAAAAATCCAAAGAGACCTGTAACTAGTAAGAAGATTCAACCAGTAATCAAAAACCCCACCAAAAAGAAAATTCCAGGTCCAGATAACTTCACTGGAAAATTTTACCAAACATTTCAAGAAGAATTAATGCCAATCCTCTGCAAAATCTTCCAAAAATGTTCAAAAACCAGAAGGGGACATTCCAGTCCATTCTATCGGTCAACATTTATCTGGTTCCAGAGCCAGATGAACACCTTTTGTAATAAAAACACTCAAAGAATTAGTAATATATGGAAACTCCTCAGTAAATAAAGATTATACATGAAGAGCTCACAGCTAACATCATACTCAATAGTGAAAAACTAAAATCTTTTCCTCTAGGATCAGGAATAAGATAGCAACTTCTCTTCCTGCCACTTCTATTCACCACAGCACTGGAATTTCTACTTAGAATAATTAGGCAAGAGAAAGTAATAAAAAGCATGCCAATCGGAAAGGAAAAAGTACAAAATTTTGTTCACAGACAACAGGATGTTATGTGTAAAAATTCTGAAATTCCACAAAATACTGGTAGAATAATGAAATTCAACAAAGTTTCAGGATATAGTAACACTCTCAAGTCAGTTGCATTTCTATAAACTAACAATGAACAATCTGCAAATTAAATTTTAAAAAGAGGCCAGGTGCAGTGGCTCACACTTGTAATCCCAGCACTTTGGGAGGCCAAGGTGGGTGGACCACCTGAGGTCAGGAGTTCGTGACCAGCTGGGCCAACCCCATCTCTAATATAAATAGTAAAACTCTATCTCTATTAAAAATACAAAAATTAGCTGGGCATAGTGGCAGACACCTGTAGTCCCAGCTACTTGGGATGCTGAGGCAGGAGAATTGCTTGAACTTGGAAGTTGGAGGTTGCAGTCAGCTGAGATTGTGCCACTGTGCTCCAACTTAGGAAACAGAGTGAGACACCGTCTCAAAAAAAAGAAAGAAAGGAAAGAAAGAGAGAGAAAGAAAAGAAAAGAAAAGAATAGAAAAGAAAGAGAAAACAAAAGAAATTTTTAAAAAGAATGACATTTGGCCGGGTGCGGTGGTTCATGCCAGCAATCCCAGCAGTTTGGGAGGCCGAGGCGGGCAGATCACCTGAGGTCACAAGTTCAAGACTAACCTGGTCAACATGGAGAAACCCTGTCTCTACTAAAAATACCAAAAAGTTAGCTGGGCGTGGTGGCGTGCACCTGTGATCCCAGGTACTTGAGAGGCTGACGTTGGAGAATTGCTTGAATAAGGAAGGTGCAGGTTGCAGTGACCTGAGATAGTGCCACTGCACTCCAGCCTGGGAGACAGAGCAAGACTCCATCTCAAAAAAAAAAAAAAAAAAGAATTACATTTACAACAGCATTAAAAAAATTAGAGGCTGGGCGCGGTGGCTCACGCCTGTAATCTCAGCACTTTGGGAGGCTGAGGCGGGCGGGCGGATCACGAGGTTAGGAGATCAAGACCATGTTGGCTAACACGGTGAAACCCCGTCTCTACTAAAAATACAAAAAATTAGCCGGGTGCCTTGGCGGGCACCTGTAGTCCCAGCTACTCGGGAGGCTGAGGCAGGAGAAAGGCATGAACCGGGGAGGCGGAGCTTGCAGTGAGCTGAGATTGCGCCACGCCACTGCAGTCCGGCCTGGGCGAAAGAGTGGGACTCTGTCTTAAAAAAAAGAAAAAAATTAGAAATAAGCTTCACCAAGAGGGCAAAAGATTTGAACACAGAAAACTACAAAACACTGTTGAAAGAAATTAAACACAAATAAATGAAAAGAAAAGCTAGGTTTGCCGATTAGATGATTTCATCTTGGAATGATGTCAACACTACTCGAAGTGACCTAGATTCAATACAATCCTTATAAAGATTCCAATGACATTTTTGATAAACAGAAAAACCTATCCTAAAATTCATATGGAATCTCCAGGGCCCATGAATAGGCAAATCGATCTTGAAACAGAACAAAATTAAAGGTCTCAAAACAATTACAAAACTGCAATAAGCCAAAAAAAAATGTGGTCATGGCATAAATACACTCTTGACACACTTATGGACCAACACAACAGAGACCTCAGAAACCAACCCTGGCATATATGGTCCGATGATCTTCCACAAGGATGCCAAGACCACTCAATGGTGAAGGACAGTTTCTGCAACAAATTGTGTTGGGGAATTTGTATATCTACATGCAAAACAGTGAAGTTGGACTCTTACCTTACACCACGTTAAAATTAATTCAAAGTGAATTATAAACCTAAATGTAAAACTAGAACTATCAAACTCCTAGGGAAAACAAATTTGGAAAATGCTTTATGACGATGAATTTGTCAATAATTTTTAGGATATGACATTAAAAGCTCAGGCAGTAAAAGCAAAAATATATCAAACCTAAAAACTTCTGTACCTCAAAGGTCACAACCAACAGGGTAAAAGGCAAACTGTAGAATAAATAAAATACCAGTTGAGTGTTCCTTATTTGAAATGCTTGGGATGTGTTTCAGATTTTGTAATATTTGCACTATTCTTACTGGTTGAGCATCTCGAATTCAAACACCTGAGTCTGAGATGCTCCAATAAGCATTTCCTTTGAGTTTCATGTTGGCACTCTAAAATTTCAGACTTTGGAGCATTTGGGATTTCAGATTTTTGGATCAGAGACATTCAACCTATAGTTGCTCATCATGTATCTCATAAGAAGTGAACATTCAGAATACGTAAAGTACTCCTACAGAGAGACTTCCAGAAGCAGAGAGGAGCAAACACATTTTCACACTAGGGCACCTCCTATCTCTCCTGGATTCCAATTAGGGCAGAGTAAGTGCTAGTTCTCTGCCAACCTAGGATTAGGCCCTGCAGCTGCAGTGAAAATAATCACAGAAGAAAACTAAGAAATAAAAAATGGAGAAAGTGAGACATCAAACTAGAATTACTAGAAACCCCTAGGAAGAAGGAAAAAAAAAACAAAACAGAAAAACAATCAAACCAGTTAATTAAACCTTGATGTGACCAGAAGATCAGGGTTTCCTAAAGGAGTGGAAATTTATTGACTTGAAGAGGATTTATTGATTACTGATTTGAAGAGGAAGAAAAACCATGAATGGTCTAAAGCAAAGCCTAGTGTCTGAAGAAGTCAGTAAGGTGAAAACAAGAGCTGGCCAGAATGTCCACAGATGGTGACAAGTTTGCAAAGCCTTTACTAGACTACTTGTGAGGCTAACTAGAGGCCAAGGAGCCAACACTGCCCCTGTCCTTACAGAGAGACCCTACAGAGGATTCCCAGATATACATGGAAGGACAACATCTTGTCAGGTCCTCTCTGTGCAGATGTGGTTATCATTCCAAATAATGAGCTCCAGCCCCAAGACTGTTCCATCCTCAATTGCTTTGAGTGGGCAATGTAGGCTCTCCACACACGAGCTACATGTAGGTTCCTTGGGTACCCAGATGGGAGCCGTGAAACACAAATCTTCCATGGTCAGGTCCGTACCTGTTTCCTGCCTTTTCCCCAGCAATCCCCAGGCCTCAGCAGCAGTGGTCTATCTCTGCTGATTCTCATTCAGAATCTAAACTTAGAAACAATTAGAACCTAGACCCCAATTCTACCTGAAAGTAACAGAATAACATAATCTATACCCTGCAGCATGACTGTTTGCCCAACGTAATGAGGATGAACTGAGAGATAATGATTGACCATGACCCTGGCCCAAGTAACAAGAATGAACTGTGAGATAAATGAATGATCATGACCAAAAAACCCCACTACAACACAACAACAAAATAAAGTGATTAAAAAATGGACAAAGAACATTTATCCAAAGATGCAAAGATAATATAAAAATAGCCAACAGATACATGAGATATATGAGAAGATGTGTAACATCACTAGTCATTAAAGAAATGCAAATAGAAACCACAATGGGACATCACTTCTAACCCAACAGAAAGTAACAAGTGCAGGTGAAACTGAAACCCTTGAACACTGTTGGTGGAAATATGAACTGGCTCCTCATAAAAAATAAAATAAAATGACCATATGATCCAGGCATCCAACTTCTACAGAGACAGAATAACTAGTAGCAGGAACTCCAACAGATATGTGCACACCTATGTTCACAGGAGCATTACACAGCCACAAGTAGAAGAAACCAAAACGTCCATCCAGGAATAGATGGATAAACAAAAGGATATATATATATAGAGAGAGAGAGAGAGAGAAAATATATATATATATATATGAAGAAATATTATTCAGCCATAGAAAGGAAGAAAATCCTGACACATCTGACACATAACATGGAACCTACTTACAAAACAACAAATATTATATAACCCTAGGTATATAAGCCAAAGTTTTAGAAACACAAAGTAGAATAGTACTTGCCAGGAGGTGGAAGGAAGGGGGAATTAATAGTTGTTGAATGGGTATAGAGTTTTCCAAGATAAAAAAAAAAATCTAGAAATCTGCTACACAACACTGTAAATATTCTTAACTCTACAAAACTGTACACTTACAACTGGTTATGATGGTAAATTTTAAGGTATGTGTTTGTTACCAAAATTAGAAATAATAAATTATTTATAAAAAATGATATTTTTTGACACAGGATCTTACTCTGTTGCCCTGGCAGGAGTGCAATGGCATGATCACAGCTCATTGCAGCCTCAACCTCCCAGGCTCAAGCAACCCTCCCACCTGAGCCTCCCGAATAGTTGGGACTACAGGTGCACACCAAGATGTCAGGCTAAAGTTTGGTTTGGTTTTTTGTAGAGAGGGTTTTCCCATGTTGCCCAGGCTGGTCTCAAACTCCTGGGTTCAAGCAATCCACCTCCCTTGGACTCCCACAGAGCTGAGATTACGAGCATAAGCCAACATGCCCAGCCTATAAAAAATTATTTCAAAAAGCCAAAAGATTAATCAAACTGGAATATTTAGAAATATTTAACCCAAAAGAAGTTAGGAAAGAATATATAGAAGATCAAAAGACAGACGAAGACCAGGCATGGTGGCTCATGCCTGTAATCTGAACAATTTGGGAGGCCAAGGTGGGTAGGTTGCTTGAGCTCAGGAGTTCAAGACCAGCCTGTGCAACATGGCAAAACTTTATCTCTACAAAAAATATAAAAATTAGCCAGGTGTGGTGTCATGCACCTGTAGTCCCAGCTACTCAGGGGGCTCAAGTGAGGATTGGTTGGGCCTGGGAGGCAGAGGTTGCAGTTAGCCAAGATTGCACCATTGCACTACAGTCTGGGTGACAGAGCAAGACCCTGTCTTAAAAAAATAAACAAACAAATAGAAAATAAGTAGAAAAATGGCAGACCTAAATCCAACCTTAGCAATGATTAGTTACAATGTAACTGGACAAATGCTCTACTTAAGACAGAGACTGCCAGACCTGAGAGGAAGGCAAGACCCAACAATATGGCATCCACAGAGACACAATTTAAACACAAAGACACAAACAAAGTATGAGAAAAAATATGCTATGCAGACACTAATCATAAAAA
This sequence comes from Homo sapiens, assembly GCF_000001405.40. Classification (NCBI taxonomy): domain Eukaryota; kingdom Metazoa; phylum Chordata; class Mammalia; order Primates; family Hominidae; genus Homo; species Homo sapiens. Next base: position 49,613,564 of record NC_000004.12, read on the forward strand.
TATGCTATCCAGACACTAATCATAAAAAGCTTCAACAGAGATGTTAACACTAGATGATAGAGGCTTCAGAGCAAAATATATCACCAGAAATAAACAGGGTAATTTAATAAAAATAAAAGAATCAGAGAGGATGATGTTACAATTAAAAATTGTGCCTCAAAGTGCACACAAAGTACACACACACACAAAACCTCAAAGTATGTGAATCAAAAACAACAGAACAAAAGCAGGAAATTGACAATCCAAAATTATAGCTGGTGAATTAATACTGCTCTCTCAGTAACTGATGGAACAACCAGATAAAAATATAGGAAAAATATGGATCTAAATGACAAAATCCTGACCCAAATGGTACTTGGCAGTACCAAGATAGACTGTATGTCGATCGATTGAGAAAAGGTTCAAGCCTGAAATACTATACAAAGGATGTTGTCTGAACACTTGAAATTAAATTGGAAACCAACAACAAATTGATAACCAGAAAAGCCTCAAATGTCTGAAAACCAAGTAATAAACTTTGAAATACCCTGTGAGTCAAAAAAGTATTCACAAGGGGAACTGGAATGTATTTGGAACAAACTTGTTATAAAAATCTCATTTCTGGTAGACTAAAGGTGACAACTTTCCTGCTCCTCTCTCTGTGAGGACCAATTCCCCTTAAACCTTGACCAAACTACTGACTTATTTGGCCAACAGAAGGTGACAAAGGTGGTATTTGGGGACTTCAGAAGCCAGGCTGAGAAAACAGAACACTTATCCAGGAGAAAGCCAGTCACCAGGCAGGAAATCCCACTCCCCTGAGACCTCATGATGGAAACCACACGGCCAGTCCATGACTAGCTACATGCATTGACATCCCCCACTGAGCCTCCAGCAACACCGACTCCCAACAACTAGTGAGCCTCCAGCAACATCCACTCCCAACCACTAGTGAGCCACCCTGCACACCACCTCACTGTGCTTTCACACAATCCAGCTTGGCTGCAACTGTGTGTGAGATGAGCTGACCACCAAGACTCTCTAAGCCAAAAAACAAGTAATAATGAGTTGTTTTAGGCTGCCAAGTTTTGGGGATGGTTTCTTCAGAATAGATAACTGGAACAGAATATGGTAGCTGGAAATGAGCCGCTGTGGTAATCAGAAGCTACAATATGTGCCACGACTGTGAGGCTGACCTGTAACTGGGCCTCAAGTAGACCATTCATGCAACCTGGAAGAGCATCAAGACACTTGGTCAGGGCCTGAAGGTCGGTGAGAAAATGTCATTGGAAACTGGAGAAAAGGCCTGAGAGCTACGTGCTGAGGGACTGTGGGAAAACTATGGCCACAACATGGAAACTGAAAGGGCACTGCACCATCTCAGGGATCTGCCTAAGGAGACATCTGGGAAGAACATGGAAAGTGCTACCAGCCTCCCCTAACTGTCACTGAATAAATATGACAGGAGAGGGACATGATCTAAAGAAGAAGGTTCAGTTTTCAAACAGAATTTAGAGAAAATATAAAGAAATAACTTCTTGTCTCAAAAGGCCAAAGTGAAAAAAAAAAAAAGAAAAGAAAAGGAAAAAAAAATGAAAAAGAAGCCATTGAATACCCTATTGACCATAAGAAAAAGGCAGGGAAAGTTGGTCAACGGCAACCCAGGCACTGAAGGAAAAAGAACATGGAGAATGACAAAAGCCCAGAGGGAAGAGTAAAAGGACACAAACACCATTCTCAGGGACCAGGACTGGGCGCCGTTCTCAGGGACCAGGACTGGGCACTAATCACAGAACTGTAACAGGCACCCCATGGGAATGACCAACTGTTAGACGGGGCCTGCAGGGCAGCACTTCCCTCTTGCCTCCCACCAACAGCTTCTAAAGGGAAATGCCGACTGTTTTCACACCAGTCCCCTCACTGCAGCTGAGTTTGTGGGCTCAGATGATAGGTCACAACAACCTGATTCAGTCCTCACTGTGGCTGAGTGTGTCAGGGGCAGAAGACAGGCCACCACAACCTGATTCAGTCCTCACTGTGGCTGTGTGTGGGGGGTCAGATGACAGGTCACCACAACCTGATTCAGTCCTCACTGCGGCTGAGTGTGTGTGGGTGCAGATGACAGGCCACCACAACCTGATTCAGGGTTCAGTTGGGCTACCAGCCAGTGCCATAAGGAAAACCTTTCTGGGGCTCTTGAGAGGGGCAAAGCATAATTTGCATGTAGGAGAAATGTTAATAGTTTGTGGCCAGAGGACCAGATATGATTTATTAAAGACTGCTGCAGGTTCCTACTATGCTTCTCATCAAGAGGTGGAATCTAATCACCTTTCCCCCTTGAATCATGGCTGGTCTCAGTGATGAGTGCGACTGGACAGTGTGGCAGGAGAGATGCTCTGGGACTTCTGAGGGGCGATCATGAGAGTCCTTACAGCTTCTGCCTGGGCCTCTTGGACACACACCCTGGGAGAAGCCAGACAAACCTGACTACCTGATGCTGCCAGACTGGGAGGAAGTCCGTACTGGCCACGAAGAGAGGGCTGGGTGCCTGCTCCATGTCCCCAGCCACTAGAGTCCTTCCAGATGAGACCAAGGACATCATGAAACAACCAACCAACACCGCCCTGTCCAGTGTCTTGACCCAGAAAATTGTGACATGTAAAAAGAATAAATTCCTGGTTTAAGCCAGTAAGGTTACTGGTACATTGTTACATCTCAGATAATTAAAACCTTGAAAAACTCATGAGAGATCACAAGTAGAACCTTGATCTGAAAAGGCATGTAGCGATTTATATTGAGTATTAGGTTAAAAATGCAAGAATGGAGCATAGTTAATATTTTACGTTAAAGCTAAAACTATAATTGCCTACTTCAAATTTTCAGTTAATTAGGTTGTCACTTTTTGTTCTTAACTAAGAAATCAACTAGTTTTAGTCCATAAACAGTTAGAACTGATGCAAACATCCGTTTCTCCTTACTCATTTTAAACAGCTATCTGAAATAGGAAGTGCAATATAATCTTTAAAGAATCTGAAAACATGACAGAAATGTTTAAACTATAAACATATATTGTATATGTTAGCATATTGTATACATTGCATATTAACATAAGCTAGAATCATTGACATAAATTTATATAAACAAAAGGTATAAAATATGACAATGTTCTTCTTGATTTTTCTCTTTGCATATTTCTTTATTGGCCTTTGTCAAATGTGACCCACTAACTCCTGAATGCTTTCTCTCTCCCCATTGATTCCTAAGGATGTCACCACAGTGTTGGCCAGATGCACAGGTCACAGGGGACTGAATCTCATCACCCCACAAACATACCATTCAGGTTTTGCCAAGAATGACACTGTAAATGTAACAAAGCTTCTGTGCTTGTTAGTGAACACCAACTCAGCTCCTCTCCTGTATTCAGAAATCAGGATGAGATGAAAACAACAAGCAGGCCAGGCACGGTGGCTCACGCCTGTAATCCCACCACTTTGGGAGGACGAGGCATGTGGATCACCTGAGGTCGGGAGTTTGAGACCACCCTGATCAAAACAGAGAAACCCCATCACTACTAAACATACAAAATTAGCCGGGCATGGTGGCAAATGCCTGTAATACCAGCTACTCAGGAGCTGAGGCAGGAGAATTGCTTGAACCCGGGAGGTGGAGGCTGCAGTGAGCCGAGATCACACCACTGCGCTCTAGCCTGGACAACAAGAGTGAAACTCTGTCTCAAAAGAAAAAAAATTTAAAATAAAAGAACAAGGAAACAAAAGTAACAAGGCTTGACACCAGATGAGCCTGAATCTAAGCAAGAAAAGCCCAGAAGAAATCCCATTTTGGGTCACTGGCTGCATGGTAGTAATACCATACACATAAGGGAAGAGAGGAGGATGTGGCTTTCACTTTGAATTTTTTGAGCTTAAGGTAACTTTTGCGTAGCTACAAAGAAGCATTCAACAGAGAGTTAAACCTATGATGGAAAGACTGAAGGGGTCCAAGCTGTAGAGAAACAGGACTGCAAACCACAAAGGGCTGAATCAGTCAAGGAGAACTGCAGGGCGGGATGAACAGGGACTAATGGAACATTTGGATAAGCTGTTGAGAAGAAAGGAGAATTCAGAGAAAAAGAACTGTCAGTGAGGTCATAATAGGAACTGTTACAGTGAACTAAATATGGCCTGGGAAGGACTCTGTACTTCTAGATTTGAGTCCCTGTGGACAAACTGCAACCTAAGTTAATAGGTAGGAAGACTGAAAACCTAACTTAGGGGTATGCGCCTGTAACTATAGCTGAGTCCTGGCCAATCCCAACAGCCAAACTTCTGCCACTCACACACTGCTGAGTGTTCAGCTGTGTTCAGATAAGGCAAATGCTGAGCACTGGAACCAGTCCAGTTGTTTCTGGACCTCACTGCTGAGAACGGTAAGGGACCCAGTTGCTTCTCGACCGCACTCCTCACTTCAGATTTCTGTACATCACGTTCCCTTTATTGTCTATAAATCTTCCACCATGTAGCTGTGCTGGAGTCTCACCAAATCTGCTGTGATTCTGGGGGCTGCCTGATTCGTGAATCATTCATTGCTCAATTAAGTTCCTTTAAATTTAATTAAGCTGAAGATTTTCTTTTAATAGATGGTGTCAGAAGTGGGATCTGTAGGAGCAGGACTGCTAGGGCCTCCGGAGCTATAGTGTGGTGAGCAGCGTTGCTAGGGCTTCTAATGACCCCCAGGAGTGCTGAGGTACAAGAAAGGCACCTGCAAGGACTGCAGGACTGCTCTGTGATGGCAGCAGTGGTCCACGTGGAGCAGTTGCTACGGAGACACTGGCTGCAGTGGGGAGGAGTGGCTGGGGCTGTGCGCTCCTCGAAGCTGGTGGGAGCCAGGAACGGGTGGGAGCCCCACCTCTTCTAAATTGGCAGGCAGGAGCCCCGCCCTCCCAGGCACAGCTGCAGCCATCCAGCCATGACTGCAAACCCGGGCATCTTTGCACTCTCAGAGGCCCAGCAAGCCCCCCTGCCCCCGCAGGCTCAGTCGTACCTGGTCCCACCACCTGGCATCTCTCCACTCCCAGAGTCCACTCCAACTTCGGATCCAAGTTGAGGCTGAACCCAGGCACAGTCGCAACCCGGCCCAGTTTGTGCAAGCTCAGGGCAGTGCTGACATGCCAGCCCCCTGCCACCTCGGCCCCCTCCAGACTTTGGGCAGTGACGAGCACAAGACGGAGGTTGAGGTGGGGCTAAGAGTGGCTCAGCACTGGCCTGAAGGCACTCCTCAGCTCGAACAGCCTCGGCAATGTGGGCACAGCTAACCACAGTGTGTCTCTCTCAGCTGCTGAGAGCTGAAAAGACGTTGGGATGACCTGCCTGCAGAAAGGAGTTACCCACTGCAGTTCTCCTCTGAGCTGTACTGTTGTTCAATAAAGCACCTCTTCACCTTGCTCACCTTCTACTTGCCCACATACCTCATTCTTCCTGGACTCAGGACAAGAACTCGGGACCTGCCAACTAGCAGGGCTGAAAGAGGTGTAACATAAACAGGGCTGAAACGCCCCCCTTGCTTGCCAAATTGCAGGCAAGAAGAAGAGAAGAGAGAAGGAGACAAGAGCTGTGGCCCTTCAGGGAGCCCAGACCTAGGAGCTCCCTAAGCCAGGGCTGTGATGTCTTCTTTGGGGCTCTGCAGTTCCTGCATCTCCAAGTTTCTGGGCGCCACTGCATTCCCTGATACACACAGTGGAAGCTGTTTGCAGTCGGTCTGGTCCAGCTGCAGCCTCACAGGGAGCTGGCATCTGTGCCGGTACCTGGAGCTGCCCACCTCACTGCAGCTGGCATGCTTGGCTGTGTGCAGTGGCCAGATCCCATGCTTGCTTGCTCACACACCCTTCACTGCTCTGTACCCAGCTCACCCTTGGCAGGTGTGGGATCCACACCACTAGCATGAGCCGAGTGGATGGAATGAACCCAGTGGGCCCGAGCAAAACACAGGTAAAGGCACCACCAGCCAGAGGTTTCAGGCAGAAAAGTGACATCTCAGGATTCTGTAACACTTGTGCCCTTTGACCTCTCAGAGCAGCTGGGGATCATGGTAAATTCTCTCTCGGATTTCAGAGCTCCATGGATTTGTGTTTTGAGCTCTGAGTTTCTTTGAGCAAATTTCTGTTCCAAACTGCTATCCAGCCATGACTGACTGGATGTTTTAGAAGTTATGACAGAAACGGGACCGGGTCCAGGATCAGATTTGATACAGTAGTTAACTGGCTTGAATCCAGTTCCAGTTAGAGACCTCCTACATCTGAATGGGTCATAAGGAAAGTGGTAGCAAATGATAATTTTGGAGGGTTGTAAAATTTGGCTTTTGAAAATTCACAGGGATTTTTGTGTTCTACCCCTTTGTTTCATTTTCCTCGCACGCTTAGGTAGGAAAAAAAATCATTGGCTAAGTCAATGAAGGGAACATGGGAGTAAAGCCAATATATTAGGTAAAAATAGGATCCTTAATTTCTGGAAAACTTACTTCCTTCTGGCTAATTCATTAGGCCTGGGAAGCAGCAAAGTCTTACAGAAATGGCAAAATCTTACTAAAGATAACTTACAGTGGAACATTCCAAATGAATAATGCCCTGAAGTGCATTTAAAAATGAGGGCTCCCAAATTAGTCTCATCTAGGGATGCCTATTAATATGCAGAAGCTTCTAAAAAGATTTAGAGGTGGCACGGCCTATCTGGGAGCAAGTTTGGGTCTTACCAGTTTGACACTGGGTGCTAAGCAAAGTGGCTCGTGTCTATGTTTTGTCACATGTATTTTGCTCTGAGCAGAATGAAAAATCTTAATTTGGTTACTCCAAGCAACCCCTTGGGCAGCATGTTGCAAAGCTGAGTGGATTCTTCCTGTGGCTCCATGATTTCCATTGTGATACAGCTTGGCCCCAGAGCTATAATATGGAGAGGAGGGTGACAGAGCAAGAGGTTATCTTTAAAAAAAAATGGCCAGGGGCAGCGGCTCACGCCTGTAATCCCAACACTTGGGGAGGCCGAGGTAGGTGGATCACCTGAGGTCAGGAGTTCAGGGCCAGCCTGACCAACAAGGAAAAACCCCGTCTCTACTAAAAACACAAAATTAGCTGGGCATGGTGTGGCATGCCTCTAATCCCAGCTACTCAGGAGGCTAGGGCGGGAGAATTGCTTGAACCTGGGAGGCAGGGGGTTGCAGTAAACCGAGATCGCATCATTGCACTCCAGCCTGGGCAACGAGAGGGAAAATCCACCTCCAAAAAAGAAAAGAATAATAGATTGGCCTATAAGGTTTTATGAAAAAGTGGGTGACATTTGGCTTTCTCTCTTTAAAGAAGATTTTCAGAAAATATTAAAAAATAATGGGAGGAGGAGCCAAGATGGCCGAATAGGAACAGCTCGAGTCTACAGCTCCCAGCATGAATGATGCAGAAGACCGGTGATTTCTGCATTTCCATTTGAGGTACTGGGTTCATCTCACTAGGGAGTGCCAGACAGTGGGCGCAGGACAGTGGGTGAAGTGCACTGCTCACTAGCTGAAGCAGGGCGAGTCATTGCCTCACTCAGGAAGTGCAAGGGGTCAGGGAGTTAGCTCCCTTTCCTGGTCAAGGAAAGGGGTGACAGACGGCACCTGGAAAATCGGGTCACTCCCACCCTAACACTGTGCTTTTCTGACGGGCATAGGAAACGGCACACCAGGAGATTATATCTGGCACCTGGCTCGGAGGGTCCTACGCATACGGAGTCTCACTGATTGCTAACACAGCAGTATGAGATCAAACTGCAAGGCAGCAGCAAGGCTGGGGAGGGGCACCGGCTATTGCACAGGCTCTCTTAGGTAAACAAAGCAGCCAGGAAGCTCGAACTGGGTGGAGCCCACCACAGCTCAAGGAGGCCGTCCTGCCTCTGCAGGCTCCACCTCTGGGGGCAGGGCACAGACAAACAAAAAGACAGCAGTAACCTCTGCAGACTTAAATGTCCCTGTCTGACAGCTTTGAGGAGAGCAGTGGTTCTCCCAGCACGCAGCTGGAGATCTGAGAATGGGCAGACTGCCTCCTCAAGTGGGTCCCTGACCCCTGACCCCCAAGCAGCCTAACTGGGAGGCACCCCCCAGTAGGGGCAGACTGACACCTCACACGACCAGGTACTCCTCTGAGACAAAACTTCCAGAGGAACGATCAGACAGCAGCATTCGCGGATCACGAAAATCCATGGTTTTGCAGACACCACTGCTGATAGTCAGGCAAACAGGGTCTGGAATGGGGCTCTAGCAAACTCCAACAGACCTGAAGCTGAGGGTCATGTCTGTTAGAAGGAAAACTAACAAACAGAAAGGACATCCACACCAAAAACCCACCTGTACATCACCATCATCAAAGACCAAAAGTAGATAAAACCACAAAGATGGGGAAAAAACAGAGCAGAAAAACTGGAAACTCTGAAAAGCAGAGCACCTCTCCTCCGCCAAAGGAACGCTGTTCCTCACCAGCAATGGAACAAAGCTGGACAGAGAATGACTTTGACGAGTTGAGAGAAGAGGGCTTCAGACGATCAAACTACTCCGAGCTACAGGAGGAAATTCAAACCAAAGGCAAAGAAGTTGAAAACTTTGAAAAAACTTTAGACGAATGTATAACTAGAATAACCAATATAGAGAAGTGCTTAAAGGAGCTAATGGAGCTGAAAGCCAAGGCTCGAGAACTATGTGAAGAATGCAGAAGCCTCAGGAGATGATGAGATCAACTGGAAGAAAGTGTATCAGTGATGAAAGATGAAATGAATGAAATGAAGCAAGAAGGGAAGTTTAGAAAAAAAAGAATAAGAAGAAATGAACAAAGCCTCCAAGAAATATGGGACTATGTGAAAAGACCAAATCTGCATCTGATTGGTGTACCTGAAAGTGACGGGGAGAATGGAACCAAGTTGGAAAACACTCTGCAGGATATTATCCTGGAGAACTTCCCCAATCCAGCAAAGCCAGCCAACATTCAGATTCAGGAAATAGAGAGAACGCCACAAAGATACTCCTCGAGAACAGCAACTCCAAGACACATAATTGTCAGATTCACCAAAGTTGAAATGAAGGAAAAAATGTTAAGGGCAACCAGAGAGAAAGGTCAGGTTACCCATAAAGGGAAGCCCATCAAGATAACTGCTGATCTCTTCGCAGAAACTCTACAAGAAAGAAGAGAGTAGGGGCCAATATTCAACATTCTTACAGAAAAGAATTTTCAACCCAGAATTTCATATCCAGCCAAACTAAGCTTCATAAGTGAAGGAGAAATAAAATACTTTACAGAAAAGCAAATGCTGAGCGATTTTGTCACCACCAGGCCTGCCCTAAAAGAGCTCCTGAAGGAAGCACTAAACATGGAAAGGCACAATCGGTACCAGCTACTGCAAAAACATGCCAAATTGTAAAGAACATCAAGACTAGGAAGAAACTGCGTCAATTAACGAGCAAAATAACCAGCTAACATCATAATGACAGGATCAAATTCACACATAACAATATTAACTTTAAATGTAAATGGACTAAATGCTCCAATTAAAAGACACAGACTGGATAATTGGATAAAGAGTCAAGACCCATCAGTGTGCTGTATTCAGGAAACCCATGTCACGTGCAGAGACACACATAGGCTCAAAATAAAAGGATGGAGGAAGATCTACCAAGCAAATGGAAAACAAAAAAAGGCAGGGGTTGCAATCCTAGACTCTGATGAAACAGACTGTAAACCAACAAAGATCAAAAGAGACAAAGAAGACCATTACATAATGGTAAAGGGATCAATTCAACAAGAAGAGCTAACTATCCTAAATATATATGCACCCAATACAGGAGCACCCAGATTCATAAAGCAAGTCCTGAGTGACCTACAAAGAGACTTAGACTCCCACACAATAATAATGGGAGACTTTAACACCCCACTGTCAACATTAGACAGATCAATAAGACAGAAAGTTCACAAGTATACCAAGGAATTGAACTCAGCTCTGCACCAAGTGGACCTAACAGACATCTACAGAACTCTCCACCCCAAATCAACAGAATATACATTTTTTTCAGCACCACACCACACCTATTCCAAAATTGACCACATACTTGGAAGTAAGGCCCTCTTCAGCAAATGTAAAAGAACAGAAATTAAACTGTCTCTCAGACCACAGTGCAATCAAACTAGAACTCGGCATTAAGAAACTCACTGAAAACTGCTCAACTACATGGAAACTGAACAACCTGCTCCTGAATGACTACTGGGTACATAATAAAATGAAGGCAGAAATAAAGATGTTCTTTGAAACCAACGATAACAAAGACACAACATACCGGAATCTCTGGGACACATTCAAAGCAGTGTGTACAGGGAAATTTATAGCACTAAATGCCCACAAGGGAAAGCAGGAAAGATCCAAAATTGACACCCTAACATCACAATTAAAAGAACTAGAAAAGTAAGAGCAAACACATTCAAAAGCTAGCAGAAAGCAAGAAATAACTAAAATCAGAGCAGAACTGAAGGAAATAGCAACAAAAAAATGCTTCAAAAAATTAATGAATCCAGGAGCTGGTTTTATGAAAGGATCAACAAAATTGATACACTGCTGGCAGGACTAATAAAGAAAAAAAGAGAGAAGAATCAAATAGACACAATAAAAATGATAAAGGGGATATCACCACTGATCCCTCAGAAATACAAACTACCATCAGAGAATACTACAAACACCTCTACACAAATAAACTAGAAAATCTAGAAGAAATGGATAAATTCCTCCACACATACACTCTCCCAAGACTAAACCAGGAAGAAGTTGAATCTCTGAATAGACCAATAACAGGATCTGAAATTGTGGCAATAATCAATAGTTTACCAACCAAAAAGAGTCCAGGACCAGATGGATTTACAGCCAAATTCTACCAGAGGTACAAGGAGGAACTGGTACCATTCCTTCTGAAACTATTCCAATCAATAAAAAAAGAAGGAGTCCTCCCTAACTCAATTTATGAGGCCAGCATCATCCTGATACCAAAGCCAGGAAGAGACACAACCAAAAAAATAGAATTTTAGACCAATATCCTTGACGAACATTGATGCAAATATCCTCAATAAAATACTGGCAAACCGAATCCAGCAGCACATCAAAAAGCTTATCCACCATGATCAAGTGGGTTTCATCCCTGGGATGCAAGGCTGGTTCAATATACGCAAATCAATAAATGTAATCCAGCATATAAACAGAACCAAAGACAAAAACCACATGATTATCTCAATAGATGCAGAAAAGACCTTTGACAAAATTCAACAATGCTTCATGCTAAAAACTCTCAATAAATTAGGTATTGATGGGACTTATCTCAAAATAATAAGAGCTATCTATGAAAAACCCACAGTCAATATCATACTGAATGGGCAAAAACTAGAAGCATTCCCTTTGAAAACGGGCACAAGACAGGGATGCCCTCTCTCCTCACTCCTATTCAATATAGTGTTGGAAGTTCTGGCCAGGGCAATCAGGCAGGAGAAGGAAATAAAGGGTATTCAATTAGGAAAAGAAGAAGTGAAATTGTCCCTGTTTGCAGATGACATGATTGTATATCTAGAAAACCCCATTGTCTCAGCCCAAAATCTCCTTAAGCTGATAAGTAACCTCAGCAAAGTCTCAGGATACAAAATCAATGTACAAAAATCACAAGCATTCTTATACACCAATAACAGACAAACAGAGAGCCAAATCATGAGTGAACTCCCATTTGCAATTGCTACAAAGAGACTAAAATACTTAGGAATCCAATTTACAAGGGACATGAAGGACCTCTTCAAGGAGAACTACAAACCACTGCTCAATGAAATAAAAGAGGATACAAACAAATGGAAGAACATTCCATACTCATGGATAGGAAGAATCAATATCATGAAAATGGCCATACTGCCCAAGGTAATGTATGGATTCAATGCCATCCCCATCAAGCTACCAATGACTTTCTTCACAGAATTGGAAAAAATTACTTTAAAGTTCATATGGAACCAAAAAGAGCATGCATCACCAAGTCAATCCTAAGCCAAAAGAACAAAGCTGGAGACATCACCCTACCTGACTTCAAACTATTCTACAAGGCTACAGTAACCAAAACAGCATGGTACGGGTACCAAAACAGAGATATAGACCAATGGAACAGAACAGAGCCATCAGAAATAATGCCGCATATCTACAACTATCTGATCTTTGACAAACCTGACAAAAACAAGGAGTGGATCCCCTATTTAATAAATGGTGCTGGGAAAACTGGCTAGCCATATGTAGAAAACTGAAACTGGATTCCTTCCTTACACCTTATACAAAAATTAATTCAAGATGGATTAAAGACTTAAATGTTAGACCTGAAACCATAAAAACCCTAGAAGTAAAACTAGGCATTACCATTCAGGACATAGGCATGGGCAAGGACTTCATATCTAAAACACCAGAAGCAATGGCAACAAAAGCCAAAATTGACAAATGGGATCTAATTAAACTAAAGAACTTCTGCACAGCAAAAGAAACTGCCATCAGAGTGAACAGGCAACCTACAAAATGGGAGAAAATTTTTGCAACCTACTCATCTGACAAAGGGCTAATATCCAGAATCTACAACGAACTTAAACAAATTTACAAGAAAAGAAATACAACCCCATCAAAAAGTGGGTGAAGGATATGAACAGACACTTCTCAAAAGAAGACCTTTATGCAGCCAAAAGACACATGAAAAAATGCTCATCATCACTGGCCATCAGAGAAATGCAAATCAAAACCACAATGAGATACCATCTCACACCAGTTAGAATCACAATCATTAAAAAGTCAGGAAACAACAGGTGCTGGAGAGGATGTGGAGAAATAGAAACACTTTTAAACTGTTGGTGGGACTGTAAACTAGTTCAACGATTGTGGAAGTCATTGTGGTGATTCCTCAAGTATCTGGAACTAGAAATACCATTTGATCCAGCCATCCCATTAGTGGGTATATAACCAAAGGACTATAAAACATGCTGCTATAAACACACATGCACACGTATGTTTATTGCTACAGGACCGCCTCTGGGTGCCACACTTCCGGAGGAAAATGGCGAAGTGGGCCGGGCGGCGCATGCGCAGAGAGAAAACCTGGTTCCCAAGGTCCTTGATGGTAACATCATTGGAAGGTGACACTACAATTCCCATGAGGCTTTGCGGTCCCCCTTTAGGAACCCACGCCGGAGATTCTGTTTTGCCCAGCAGTTGAGTCCAGTTACCCAGAGACCCGGACTTAATGTATCAGGTCTGGTCCCTACCCAGTTGACACAGATGTGGCATTCTGGTTCTTTATTAAATACTGGTTTCACAGCCTGGGACATTGTGAAAATAATGGAGAAATTTCAATAGAGGCCAATTGGTCTATGCTATTAATGAGTAACTTTTTTTTTTTTTGAGATGGAGTCTCACTCTGTCGCCCAGGCTGGAATGCAATGGTGCAATCTTGGCTCAGTGCAATCTCCGCTTCCTGGGTTCAAGCGATTCTCCTGCCTCAGCCTCCTAAGTACCTGGGATTACAGGCGTGCGCAACCACACTCGCCTAATTTTTGTATTTTTAGTAGAGACGGGTTTTCACCATGTTGGTCAGGCTGGTCTCCAACTCCTGACCTGGTGATCCGCCCTCCTCGGCCTCCCAAGGTGCTGGGATTACAAGCGTGAGCCACTGCGCCCAGCCCTCAAGTCTATTTTTTATAGATGCATTCGAAAGCATGAAAAAAATCATGTCTCTATTTTACTTTAAAATTTTAAAAACACAACTAATGAATATGGTAATTCTCTTCCAATCTGTTATCTTTTCTCTCACTAAACTAATTTGTGAGCCTTCAATTTACACAGTTAGAAAATATGCTCTAGTGCATATACTAGGATAAAATAACAGGGTCATAAGACAGGTGCACTCCATAATCTTTGTGACAACTTTCACTTCCAGTGTCTGATAAATATTTGCCCGTAGCCTCCCACGTTTCATCCATCCATCCATCAAATCTACCTATCTTTATTTATTTATTGTGAGAAAGACCTGAAATTTGCCTTTCCTTCCCTGATTTCTGCCACAAACTAGGCAAGGAGTTCTGCCTAGGGGTTTCTCAGAGCTCTGGCTACCACCGAGGTTCCTAGCAGGGAAACGCAGGTTTGAATGCTCAGGGTTGATGTGGGAGTGCGTGTGAAACGGGGGTGGGGTGAAAGGGCAGTGACGTTTGTAGGTGGGCAGATGGGGGTGTTGATAGGCTTTCAGGTAAGAGGCACGCAGGAAACTGGGAGAGGCAGCGAAAGCACCTCACACCTCAGATCACCAGAAGACGCTCCCACAAGTGCCATAACAGTTTGCCAATGCTATGGCATCACGAGAAGTCCCCACCCCTTGCCATGGAAACAGATGGAAGTTACTGCCCATTTCTAGCTATTTCTGAATAACCCTCCCCTTAATTAGCATGCCATTAAAAGTGAATTATAAAAGTGACTACAAGCCACCCCTAGGTTGCTGCTCTGGGAGCACAACCCACGGAGGGCTCCCTGCCCTGCCGGAGTGGATGCAGGGTTGTAACACAGCCAATGCCTCCGTAGAGCTGCTTTCTTCCACCACAGGCTTGCTTTTGGATTTCTTCCTGAGTGACGCCAAGAACCTGCCCTTCCTCAGTGTGACTCTTGCCTAAAACCTATCCCTGGTATTCTCTTTTCCTAAGCATGCCTTGACTTGTTCTTTCATCTCCTCTGATCTTGCAATTGGTCCTTAGTGACTCTATTCTGCAGATCCAGAAAACTCAACCTTAATCTTCCCAGAGCCCTGTTGTCTCTAATATTGGAATCTATAGCCTTGTTTTCTCAGACGCCTAGATTACAGGCCTCTCTCTTGAACACCTATTGGTATGGTATCTGGGGATCCTTTAAATACATGATGATTGGCAGGGGTGAAATAGCGGAAATCAGTGCCTGACAATTCGCCTTCCAGGATATGGACTGTCATTCCTTCTCTTGGTGGGCCTCAGTCTCTTATCCATAAAAGTAGAGATTGTAATACTCATTTGAATTGCAGATACCTCAACCCGAACCCACCTAATATAATGTAAAAGCCAAGAATGCAACCCCTTTCCTCACCCCGTGAAGGTAAAGCCCTCAGAGCCAAGGAGAGAAGGCTCAGGGATGGTATCTGGGTGTTTCCAACGCTAACCATGTATTGTAGTTTTTAGTGTTCAAGTTTAAGCTTCCCCAGCTTTAATTCTATTGTAACAAGATTTATTTTTGTAATTCCATTTTTGGATTCTTGATTTCTTGGTAAAGAAATACAGTTATTTTTGTATACCAATCTTATATAGTGTTACATTCTTAAATTTGTTCATGAGTCCTAATACTTTTTAGTAAATTTCTTACGATTTTCTAAATGCAAGATCATGTCATCTGTACATAAAGATAACTGTACTTCTTCTTTTCCAATCTAGATACTGTTTATTTATTTACATTGCCAAATTGTCCCAGCTACCACTGTTATCAAGTAAAAGGGACTCACTGCCCAAAGCACAAGAAGCCAGTACCATGACACTGGGTTTTCGAGAAAGGAAAAAGTTTAAAGTCAAACCAAAACCTAGGGTAGAGGCCGGGCGCAGTGGCTCATGCCTGTAATCCCAGCACTTTGGGAGGCCAAGGCGGGCGGATGATAGGGTCAGGAGATTGAGTCCATCTTGGCTAACACGGTGAAACCCCGTCTCTACTAAAAATACAAAAAACAAAAATAAGACGGGCGTGAAGGCGGGCGCCTGTAGTCCCAGCTACTTGGGAGGCTGAGGCAGGAGAATGGCGTGAACCCAGGAGGCGGAGCTTGCAGTGAGCCAAGATCGCGTCACTGCACTCCAGCCTGGGAAACAGAGTGAGACTCCATTTAAAAAAAAAAAACCTATGGAATACAGTAAAAACAGTACTACAGTACTAAGAGGTAAGTTTATAGAAAAAATCACCTACATCAAAAAAAGTAGAAAAGCTTCAAATAAACAACCTAATAATGCATCTTAAATAATTAGAAAAGCAAGAACAAACCAAAACCAAAATTAGTAGAAGGAAACATAGCAAAGGTTGGAGCAGAAATAAATGAAATTGAAATTTAGCAATATAAAATATCAATGAAATGAAAAGTTAATATTTTTAAAAGACCAACAAAATCAATAAACATTTAACCAGACTAAGAAAAAAGAGAGAAGATTCCAATACATAAAACCAGAGATTGAAAAGGAGACACTATAACTGATACTGTGGAAATTCAAAGAATCATTAGAAACTATTATGACTGACTATATTCCAATAAATTGAAAAACCTGGAAGAAATGGCTGGGCACCGTGGCTCATGCCTGTAATCCCAACACTTTGGGAAGCCAAGGCAGGTGATCACCTGAGGTCAGGAGTTCAAGACCAGCCTGGCCAACATGGTGAAACCCCATCTCTACTACAAATACAAAAATTAGCCAGGTATGTTGGCATGCACCTGTACTTCCAGCTACTCCAGAGGCTGAGGCAGGAAAATCACTTGAACCTGGGAGGCAGAGGCTGTAGTGAGCTGAGATTGTACCACGAAGCAGCCTGGGTGACAGAGCAAGATTCCATCTCAAAAAAATAAACCTAGAAGAAATGGATAAATGAAATTGAAGCCATAATAAAACATCTCCTAGCAAAGAAAAGCCTGGATTCAATGGCTTCACTGGCTTCATGGATTAATTTTACCAAACATTGAAGGCAGAATTACTATCAATCCTACCCAAACTATCCCAAAAAACAGAGAAGGCTGTAGTATTTCCAAACACATCCTATGAAAAAGACAATTCATCACGTCTAAGTGAGATTTATCCCGATGATGCCAACATGGTTCAACATATGCAAATCACTCAATGTGACACATCATATCAACAGAATGAAGGACAAAAACCATATGATAATTTCAATAGATACAGAAAAGCATTTAATAAAATTCAACATCCCTGTGATAAAAAGAAACCCTCAAAAAAAAACTAGATATAGAAGGAACATAACACAACACAATAAAAACCAAATGCATCAGACCCACAGCCAGTATCATCCTGAACAGGGAAAAGCTGAAAGCCTTTCTTCTAAGTTATGGAACAAGACAAGAATGTCCACTTCCAACACTGTTACTCAACACAGTACAGGAAGTCCTAGCTAGAGCAATTCAGACAAGAGAAAAACAATAAAAGGGATGCACATTGGAAAGAAGTAAAATTATTAATGTTTTATTGTTTGCAGATGACTTGATCTTATATTTGGAAAAACGTAAGGACTCCACCAAAAAACTATTAGAACTAATCAACAAATTCACAGTCACAACATAAAAAATCAAGCTACAAAAGTGAGTAGCATTTCTAAATGAAAAAAATGAACAATCTAAAGAAGAAAATCAAGAATGTAATCCCATTTACAATAGCGACAAATAAAATAAAATAACTGGGAATAAACATAACAGAAGAAGTGAAAGATCTCTACAATGAAAAGTATAAAATATCGATGCAAAAAATTAAAGAGGACACAAAAAAACTAGAAAGATTGTCCATGTTCATTTATTGGAAGAGTAAATATTATTAAAATACCCATACTTCACAAAGCAATCTACAGATTCAATGCAATCCTTATTGAAATACTAATAACACACTTCAGAGAAATGGAAACAAAATCCTAAAATTTATAGGAAACCATAAGAATGGAATGGAACGGAATGGAATCAACCCGAATGGAAAGGATTGGAATGGAAAGGAATGGAATGGAATTCAATGGAATGGAATCAAATGGAAAGGAATGGAATGGATGGAATGGAATGGAATGGAATGGAATGGAATTGAATGGAATGGATTGGAATGGAATGGAATGGAATCAACCCGAGAGGAATGGATTGGAATGGAATGGAGTTATCCCGAGTGGAATGGAATGGAATGGAATCATCCGAGTAGAATGGAATGGAAGGGAATGCAATGGCATGGAATGGAATAGAATTAACCCGAGTGGCAAGGAATGGAATGGAATGAAATAGAATTGAACAGAATGGAATCAACCCGATTGAAATGGAATGGAATGGAATGGAATGGAATGGAATGGAATGGTAGGGAATGGAATAGAATGGAATGGAATCAACTCGAGTGGAAAGGAATGGAATGGAAAAGAATGGAATGTAATAGAAAAGAATGGAATGCAATGGAATGCAATGGCATGGAATGAAGTCAACCCGAGTGGAAAGGAATGGAATGGAATGGAATGGAACGGAATCAACCTGAGTGGAATGGAATGGAATGGAATGAATGGAATGGAATTTATTGGAAACTAATGGAATGGAAAGGAAACAAACCGAGTGGAATGGAATGCAATGAATTTCAATGGAATGGAATGGAATGGAATGGAATGGAATGGAAGGGAATGGAATGGAATGGAATGCAATTCAACGTAATAGAAACAAACCAAGTGGAATGGAATGGAATGGAAAAGACTGGAATGAAATGGAATGGATTGGAATCAATCCGATTCCAATGCAACGGAATAGAATTGAATGGAATGGAATGGAAGGGAATGGAATGGAATGGAAGGGAATGGAATGGAATGGAAAGGAATGGAATGAACTGGAATGCAATGGAATGGAATGGAATGGAATTTAATTGAACGGAATGGAATAGAATGGAATGGAATGAAATCAACCCGAGTGGAGTGCAATGGAAGGGAATGGAAATGAATGGAATGGAATGGAATGGAACGGAATGGAATGAACACGAGTGTAAGGGAATGGAATGGAACGGAATAGAATGGAATAGAATGGAATCAACCCGAGTGGAGTGCAATGGAAGGGAATGGAAATGAATGGAATGGAATGGAACGGAATGGAATGGAATGAACACGAGTGTAAGGGAATGGAATGGAACGGAATAGAATGGAAAGGAACGGGAAAGAATGGAATGGAATGGAATGAACACGAGTGGAATGGAATGGAGAGGAATGGAATGGAATTGAATTGAATGGAATGGAATGGAGTGGAATGGAATGGAATGGAATGGAATGAAATGGAATGGAATGGAACGGAATCAACCCAAATGGAATGGAATGGAATGGAATGGAATGGAATGGAATGGAATGGAATGGAAAGGAATGGAATGGAATCAACACGAGTGGAATGGAATGGAATGGAAAGGAACGGAATGCAATGGAATGGAATGTTATGGAATCCACCCGAGTGGAATGGTATGGAATGGAATGGAATGGAAAGGAATAAAATGGATTGGAATGGAATGGTATCAAACCGAGTGGAATGGAATGGAATGGAATGGAATGGAATGGAATCAACCGGAGTGGAACGGAATGGAATGGAATGGAATGGAATGGAATGGAATCAACCCGATTGGAATGGAAAGGAATAGAATGGAATGGAATGGAATGGAATGCAATGGAATCAACTGTAATGGAATAGAATGGAATGGAACGGAAAGAATGGAATCAACATGAATGGAATGGAAAAGAATGGAATGGAATGGAAAAGAAATGAATGGAATGGAAACAACCCGAGTGTAATAGAATGAAAAGGAATGGAATGGAATGGAATGGAAAGCAATGGAATTCAAAGGAATGGAATTAACTCGAGTGGAATAGAATGGAATGGACTGGAATGGAATGGAATGGATTGGAATAGAAAGAAATTCAACGGAATGGAATCAACCAGAATGGAATGGAATGGAATGGAATGGAATGGAATGGAATGGAATGCAGTGGAATGGTATGGAAAGGAATGGAATGGAAAGGAATCAACCCGAAGGGAATGGAATGGAATGGAATGGAATGGAATGGAATGGAATGGAATGGAATGGAATCAACCCGAGTGGAATGCAATGGAATGAAATGGAATGGAATGGAATGGAACGGAACAGAACGGAACTGAATGGAATGGAATCAACACAAGTGGAAAGGAACGGAATGGAATGGAATGGAATGGAATGGAAGGGAATGGAATAGCATGCAATCAATTTGGTGGAATGGTATGGAATGGAATGGAATGGAATGGAATAAAAGGGAATGGAATGGAATGGAATCAAGCCGAGATGAATGGAATGGAATGGAATGGAATGGAATGGAACGGAATGGAATGGAATGGAATGGAATGGAAATGAATAAAACCGAGTGGAATGGAATGGAATGGAATGGAATGGAAACAATGCAATGCAATGGTATCAACTGGAATGGAAAGAATTGGAATGGAAAGGAATGGAATCACCCTGAGTGGAATGGAATGGAAAGCAATGAAATGGAATGGAAACTAATAGAAAGGAATGGAAACAACCCGAGTGGAATGGAATGTAATGGAATGTAATGGAATGGAATGGAATGGAATGCAATGGAATGGAATGCAATGGAATGGAATGGAATGGAATGGAATGCAATGGAATGGAAAGGAATGGAATGGAATACAACAAAATGGAAACAACCTGAGTGGAATGGCATGGAATGGAAAGGACTTGAATATAATGGAATGGATTGGAATCAACCCGATTAGAAACTAATGGAAAGGAGTGGAATGGAATGGAATGGAATGGAATGGAATGGAATGGAATCTACCCGAGTGGAATGGAATGGAATGGAATTTAATGGAATGGAATGGAATGGAATTTAATGGAATGGAATGGAATGGAATGGAATGGAATCAACCCGAGTGGAATGGAATGGAATGGAAAGGAATGAATGGAATTGAATGGAATGGAATTGAATGGAATGGAACGGAACGGAACGGAATGGAATGGAATGGAGTGGAATGGAATGGAATGGAATGGAATGGAACGGAATTAACTGCAGTGGAATAGAATGTAAAGGAATGCAGTGGAATGGAATGGAACGGAATGGAATGGAATGGAATCAACCCGAGTGGAATGGAATGGAATGGAATGCAATGGAATGGAATGGTATGGAATCAACCCTAGTGGAATGATATGGAATGGAATGGAACGGAATGGAACGGAATGGATTCAACCCGAATGGAATGGAACGGAAAAAGTGTAATGGTATGGAATGGAATGGAATGGAAAGGAATCAACGCGAATGGTATGGAATAGAATGGAATGGAATGGAACGGAATCAACCCTAGTGGAATGCAATGGAATGAAATGGAATGGAATGGAACGGAATGGAACGGAACGGAACGGAATTGAAAGGAATGGAATCAACCCGAGTGGAAAGGAATGGAATGGAATGGAATGGAATGGAATGGAATGGAATGGAATGGAATGGAATGAAATGGAATAACATGCAATCAACTTTGGTGGAATGGTATGGAATGGGATGGAATGGAATGGAATGGAATGGAACGGAATGGAATAAAAGCTCATGGAATGGAACGGAATCAACCCGAATGGAATGGAACAGAATGGAGTGGAATGGTATGGAATGGAATGGAATGTAAAGGAATCAACTCGAAGGGTATGGAATGGAATGGAATGGAGTGCAATGGAATGGAAGGGAATGGAATCAACACGAGTGGAATGCAATGGAATGAAATGGAATGGAAAGGAATGGAACGGAATTGAATGGAATGAAATCAACCCGAGTGGAAAGGAATGGAATGGAATGGAATGGAATGGAATGGAATGGAATGGAATCAACCCGAGTGGAATGGAATGGAATGGAATGCAATGGAATGGAATGGTATGGAATCAACCCGAGTGGAATTGTATGGAATGGAATGGAACGGAATGGAACGGAATGGAATCAACTCGAATGGAATGGAACGGAATAGAGTGGAATGGTATGGAATGGAATGGAATGGAAAGGAATCAACCTGAAGGGTATGGAATAGAATGGAATGGAATCAACCCGAGTGGAATGCAATGGAATGAAATGGAATGGAATGGAATGGAACGGAAAGGAACGGAATTGAATGGAATGGAATCAACACGAGTGGAAAGGAATGGAATGGAATGGAATGGAATGGAATGGAATGGAATGGAATGGAATTGAATGGAATGGAATGGAATGGAATGGAATGGAATGGAATGGAATTGAATGGAATGGAATAACATGCAATCAACTTTGATGGAATGGTATGGAATGGAATGGAATCGAATGGAATACAACAAAATAGAAAGAGCTCGAGTGGAATGGCATGGAATGGAAAGGACGTGAATATAATGGAATGGATTGGAATCAACCCGATAAGAAACTAATGGAATGGAATGGAATGGAATGCAATGGAATGGAATGGAATGGAACGATACGGAATGGAATAGAAAGGAATGGAATCAACTCGAGTGGAAAGGAATGGAATAGAAAAGAATGGAATGTAATAGAAAGGAATGGAATGCAATGGAATGCAATGACATGGAATGTAGTCAACCCGTGTGGAATGGAATGGAATGGAACGGAAGGGAAAACAGGAATGGAATGGAATCGAATGAAATTAACCCTAGTGGAATAGAATGGAATGGAATGGAATGGAATGGAGTGGAATCAACTGGAATGGAAGGAAATGCAATGGAATGGAATGGAATCGAATGCAATGGAATGGAATGGAATCAACCCGAGTGGAATGCAATGGAAAGTAATTGAATGGAATGGAATAGAATGGAATGGAATCAACCCAAGTGGAATGGATTCGAATGGAGTGGAATGGAATGGAACAGCACGGAATGCAATGGAATCAACTAGAATGGAATGGAATGGAATGGAATGGAACGGAATCAACCTGAGTGGAATGGAATGGAATGGAATGAATGGAATGGAATTTATTGGAAACTAATGGAATGGAAAGGAAACAAACCGAGTGGAATGAAATGCAATGAATTTCAATGGAATGGAATGGAATGGAATGGAATGGAATGCAATTCAACGTAATGGAAACTAACCGAGTGGAATGGAATGGAATGAAAAAGACTGGAATGTAATGGAATGGATTGGAATCAACCCGATTCCAATGCAACGGAATAGTATTGAATGGAATGGAATGGAAGGGAATGGAATGGAATGGAATGGAAGGGAATGGAATGGAGTGGAAACGAATGGAATGAACTGGAATGCAATGGAATGGAATGGAATGGAATTTAATTGAACGGAATGGAATAGAATGGAATGGAATGGAATCAACCCGAGTGGAGTGCAATGGAAAGGAATGGAAATGAATGGAATGGAATGCAAAGGAACGGAATGGAATGAACACGAGTGTGAGGGAATGGAATGGAACGGAATAGAATGCAAAGTAACGGGATAGAATGGAATGGAATGGAATGGAATGAACACAAGTGGAATGGAATGGAGTGGAATGGAATGGAATTGAATTGAATGGAATGGAATGGAGCGGAATGGAATGGGATGGAATGGAATGGAAAGGAATCAACCTGAATGGAATGGAATGGAATGGAATGGGATGGAATGGAATTAAGCCGTGTGGAATGGAAAGGTATGGAATGGAATGGAATGGAATAAAATGGATCGGAATGGAATGGAATCAACCCGAGTGAAATGGAATGGAAAGCAATGGAATGGAATGAACCCGAGTGGAATGGAATGGAATGGAATGGAATGGAATGGAATGGAATGGAATCAACCAGAGTGGAATGGAGTGGAATGGAATGCAATGGAATGGAATGGAATGGAAGACATTGGAATCAACTGGAATGGAATGGAACGGAATGCAATGGAAAAGAAAGGAATCAATCTGGGTGGAATGGAATGGAATGGAATGGAGTGGAATGGAATGGAATGGAGTGTAATGGAATGGAATGGAGTGGAATGGAATGGAATGAAATGGAATGGAATGGAACGGACTCAACCGGAATGGAATGTAATGGAATGGAATGGAAAGGAATGGAATGGAATCAACACGAGTGGAATGGATTGGAATGGAAAGGAATGGAATGGAATGGAATGGAATGTTATGGAATCCACCCGAGTGGAATGGAATGGAATGGAAAGGAATGGAATGGAAAGGAATAAAATGGATTGGAATGGAATGGCATCAACCCGAGTGAAATGGAATGGAATGGAATGGAATGGAATGGAATGGAATGGAATGGAATGGAATGGAATCAACCCGAGTGGAACGGAATGGAATGGAACGAAATGGAATTGAATGGAATTAACCCGAGTGGAATGGAAAGGAATAGAATGGAATGGAATGGAATGGAATGGAATGCAATGGAATCAACTGGAATGGAATGGAATGGAATGGAATGCAATGGAATGGAAAGAATGGAATCAACATGAGTGGAATGGAAAGGAATGGAATGGAATGTAAAAGAAATGAATGGAATGGAAACAACCCGAGTGTAATAGAAAGAAAATTAATGGAATGGAATGGAATGGAAAGCAATGGAATGGAATGGAATGGAATGGATTGGAATGGAAAGAAATTCAACGGAATGGAATCAACCAGAATGGAATGGAATGGAATGGAGTGGAATGGTATGGAATGCAATGGAATGGAAAGGAATCAACCCGAAGGGTATGGAATGGAATGGAATGGAATGGAATGGAATGGAATGGAATGGAATTGAATCAACCCGAGTGGAATGCAATGGAATGAAATGGAATGGAATGGAATGGAATGGAACAGAACGGAATGGAACGGAACAGAATTGAATGGAATGGAATCAACCCAAGTGGAAATGAATGGAATGGAATGGAATGGAATGGAATGGAATGGAATGGAAAGGAATAGCATGCAATCTACTTTGGTGGAATGGTATGGAATGGAATGGAATGGAATGGAATGGAATGGAATGCAATCAACTGGAATGGAAGGAAATGGAATGGAATGGAATGCAATGCAATGGAATGGAATGGAATCAACCCGAGTGGAATGCAATGGAATGGAATTGAAAGGAATGGAATGGAATGGAATCAACCCAAGTGGAATGCATTCGAATGGAGTGGAATGGAATGGAACACCACGGAATGCAATGGAATCAACTAGAATGGAATGGAATGGAATGGAATGGAAAGGAATCAACCTGAGTGGAATGGAATGGAATGGAATGAATGGAATGGAATTTATTGGAAAATAATGGAATGGAAAGGAAACAAACCGAGTGGAATGGAATGCAATGAATTTCAATGGAATGGAATGGAATGGAATGCAATTCAACGAAATGGAAACAAACCGAATGGAATGGAATGGAATGGAAAAGACTGGAATGTAATGGAATGGATTGGAATCAACCCGATTCCAATGCAACGGAATTGAATTGAATGGAATGGAATGGAAGGGAATGGAATGGAATGGAAGGGAATGGAATGGAATGGAAAGGAATGGAATGAACTGGAATGCAATGGAATGGAATGGAATGGAATTTCATTGAACGGAATGGCATAGAATGGAATGGAATGGAATCAACCCGAGTGGAGTGCAATGGAAAGGAATGGAAATGAATGGAATGGAATGGAGTGGAATGGAATGGAATGGAGTGGAATGGAATGGAATGGAGTGTAATGGAATGGAATGGAATGGAATGAAATGGAATGGAATGGAACTGAATCAACCCGAATGGAATGGAATGGTATGGAATGGAAAGGAATGGAATGGAATCAACACGAGTGGAATGGAATGGAATGGAATGGAATGGAATGGAATGGAATGGAATGTTATGGAATCCACCCGAGTGGAATGGAACGGAATGGAAAGGAATGGAATGGAAAGGAATAAAATGGATTGCAATGGAATGGCATCACCCGAGTGAAATGGAATGGAATGGAATGGAATGGAATGGAATGGAATGGAATGGAATCAACCCGAGTGGAATGGAAAGGAATACAACGGAATGGAATGGAATGGAATGCAATGGAATCAACTGGAGTGGAATGGAATGGAATGGAATGGAATGGAATGGAATGGAAAGAATGGAATCAACATGAGTGGAATGGAAAAGGATGGAATGGAATGGAAAAGAAATGAATGGAAAGGAAACAACCCAAGTGTAATAGAATGAAAAGGAATGGAATGGAATGGAATGGAAAGCAATGGAATTCAAAGGAATGGAATTAACTCGAGTGGAATAGAATGGAATGGAATGGAATGGAAAGGAATGGATTGTAATGGCAAGAAATTCAACGGAATGGAATCAACCAGAATGGAATGGAATGGAGTGGAATTGTATGGAATGGAATGGAATGGAAAGGAATCAACCCGAAGGGAATGGAATGGAATGGAATGGAATGGAATGGAATGGAATCAACCCGAGTGGAATGCAATGGAATGAAATGCAATGGAATGGAAAGGAACGGAACGGAACAGAACGGAACTGAATGGGATGGAATCAACCCAAGTGGAAAGGAACGGAATGGAATGGAATGGAATGGAATGGAATGGAATGGAAATGAATAAAACGGAGTGGAATGGAATGGAATGGAATGGAATGGAAACAATGCAATGCAATGGTATCAACTGGAATGGAAAGAATTGGAATGGAAAGGAATGGAATCACCCTGAGTGGAATGGAATGGAAAGGAATGGAATGGAATGGAAACTAATGGAACGGAGTGGAAACAACCCGAGTGGAATGCAATGGAATGGAATGGAATGGAATGGAATGGAATGGAATGGAATGGAATGGAATACAACAAAATGGAAAGAACCCGAGTGGAATGGCATGGAATGGAAAGGACTTGAATATAATGGAATGGATTAGAATCAACCCGATTAGAAACTAATGGAAAGGAGTGGAATGGAATGGAATGGAATGGAATGGAATGGAATGGAATCTACCCGAGTGGAATGGAATGGAATGGAATTTAATGGAATGGAATGGAATGGAATGGAATGGAATCAACCCGAGTGGAATGGAATGGAATGGAAAGGAATGAATGGAATGGAATGGAATGGAATGGAATGGAATTTAATGGAATGGATCGGAACGGAACGGAATGGAATGGAATGGAATGGAACCCAATGGAATGGAATGGATTGCAATGGAATGGAACGGAATTAACTGGAGTGGAATGGAATGTAATGGAATGCAGTGGAATGGAATGGAACGGAATGGAATGGAATGGAATCAACCTGAGTGGAATGGAATGGAATGGAATGCAATGGAATGGAATGGTATGGAATCAACCCTAGTGGAATGGTATGGAATGGAATGGAATGGAATGGAACGGAATGGACTTAACCCGAATGGAATGGAACGGAATGGAGTGGAATGGTATGGAATGGAATGGAATGGAAAGGAATCAACCCGAATGGTATGGAATAGAATGGAATGGAATGGAATAAAAGGTCATGGAATGGAACGGAATCAACCCGAATGGAATGGAACGGAATGGATTGGAATGGTGTGGAATGGAATGGAATGGAAAGGAATCAACTCGAAGGCTATGGAATGGAATGGAATGGAATGCAATGGAATGGAATGGAATCAACATGAGTGGAATGCAATGGAATGAAATGGAATGGAATGGAACGGAATGGAACGGAACGGAATTGAATGGAATGAAATCAACCCGAGTGGAAAGGAATGGAATGGAATGGAATGGAATGGAATGGAATCAACCCGAGTGGAATGGAATGGAATGGAATGCAATGGAATGGAATGGTATGGAATCAACCATAGTGGAATGGTATGGAATGGAATGGAACGGAATGGAACGGAAGGGAATCAACCCGAATGGAATGGAACGGAATGGAGTGGAATGGTATGGAATGGAATGGAATGGAAAGGAATCAACCCTAAGTGTATGGAATAGAATGCAATGGAATGGAATGGAATCAACCCGAGTGGAAAGCCATGGAATGAAATGGAATGGAATGGAACGGAACGGAACGGAATTGAAAGGAATGGAATCAACCCGAGTGGAAAGGAATGGAATGGAATGGAATGGAATGGAATGAAATGGAATAACATGCAATCAACTTTGGTGGAATGGTATGGAATGGAATGGAATGGAATGGAATGGAATGGAATGGAATGGAATAAAAGGTCATGGAATGGAATGGAATCAACCCGAATGGAATGGAACGGAATGGAGTGGAATGGTATGGAATGGAATGGAATGGAATGGAATGGAATAAAAGGTCATGGAATGGAATGGAATCAACCCGAATGGAATGGAACGGAATGGAGTGGAATGGTATGGAATGGAATGGAATGGAAAGGAATCAACTCGAAGGGTATGGAATGGAATGGAATCAACACGAGTGGAAAGCAAACGAATGAAATGGAATGGAATGGATCGGAATGGAGCGGAATGGAAATGAGTGGAATGAAATCAACCCGAGTGGAATGGAATGGAATGGAATGGAATGGAATGGAATGGAATGGAATGGAATGGATTGGAATAACATGAAATCAACTTTGGTGGAATGGTATGGAAGGGAATGGAATGGAATGGAAAGGAATAAAAGGGCAAGGAATGGAACGGAATCAACCCGAATGGAATGGAACGGAATGGAGTGAAATGGTATGGAATGGAATGGAAAAGAATCAACCCGAATGGAATGGAATGGAATGGATTGGAATGGAATGGAATGGAATGGAATGGAATGGAATAAACCCGAGTGGAATGCAATGGAATGAAATGGAATTGAATGGAATGGAACGGAAAGGAAGGGAATTGAATGGAATGGAATCAACCCGAGTGGAAACGAAGGGAGTGGAATGGAATGGAATGGAATGGAATGGAATGGAATAACATGCAATGAACTTTGATGGAATGGTATGGAATGGGATGGAATGGAATGGAAAGGAAAGGAATGGAATGGAATGGAATGGAATGGAATGGAGTCCAACAAAATGGAAAGAACTCGAGTGGAATGGCATGGAATGGAAAGGACTTGAATATAATGGAATGGATTGGAATCAACCACATTAGAAACTAATGGAATGGAATGGAATGGAATGGAATGGAATGGAATGGAATGGAATCTACCCGAGTGGAACGGAATGGAATGGAATTTAATGGAATGGAATGGAATGGAATGGAATAAAATGGAATGCAATGGAATGGAAAAATCCGAGTGGAATGGAACAGAATTGAATGGTATAACCGGAGAGGAATGGAATGGAATGGAGTGGAATGGAATAGAATGGAATGGAATGGAATGGAATGGAATGGAATGGAATAGAATGGAATGGAATGGAATGGAATGGAATGGAATGGAATGGAATGGAATAGAATGAAATGGAAAGGAATGGAATGGAAACAACCCGAGTGGAATGGAATGGAATGGAATGGAAAGGAATGGAATGGAACAGTACGGAATGAAATGCAATGGAATAGATTGAATGCGAGTGGATTTGAATGGAATGGAATGGATTGGAATGGAATGGAATGGATTGGAGTGGAATGGAATGGAATCAATACGAATGGAATGGAACGGAATGGAATGGAATGGAATGGAATGGAAAGGAATGGAATGGAATCAACCGGAGTGGAATGGAATTGAATGGAATGGAATCCACCTGATAGGAATGAAGTGGAATGTAATCCAATGGAACGGAGTGGAATCAACTCGAGTGGAATGGAATGGAAAGGAACGGAATCGAATCCAATGGATTCAACTGGAAAGCAATGCAATGAATTTAAATGGAATGGAATGGAATGGAATGGAATCATCCGAGTGGAATGGAATGGAATGGAATGGAATAGAATTGAATGGAATGGAATCAACCCGATTGGAATGGAATGGAATAGAATTGAATGGAATGGAATCAACCCGATTGGAATGGAATGGAATAGAATTGAATGGAATGGAATCAACCCGATTGAAATGGAATGGAATGGAATGGAATGGATCGGTACGGAATGCAATAGAATGTAATGGAATCAACTCGAGTGGAAAGGAATGGAATAGAAAAGAATGGAATGTAATAGAAACGAATGGAATGCAATGGAATGCAATGGCATGGAATGTAGTCAACCCGAGTGGAATGGAATGGAATGGAATGGAAGGGAAAACAGGAATGGAATGGAATCGAATGAAATTAACCCTAGTGGAATAGAATGGAATGGAATGGAATGGAATGGAATGGAATCAACTGGAATGGAAGGAAATGCAATGCAATGGAATGGAATGGAATGCAATGGAATGGAATGGAATCAACCCGAGTGGAACGCAATGGAAGGTAATTGAATGGAATGGAATGGAATGGAATCAACCCAAGTGGAATGGATTCGAATGGAGTGGAATGGAATGGAACAGCACGGAAAGCAATGGAATCAACTAGAATGGAATGGAATGGAATGGAATGGAACGGAATCAACCTGAGTGGAATGGAATGGAATGGAATGAAAGGAATGGAATTTATTGGAAACTAATGGAATGGAAAGGAAACAAACCGAGTGGAATGAAATGCAATGAATTTCAGTGGAATGGAATGGAATGGAATGGAATGGAATACAATTCAACGTAATGGAAACAAACCGAGTGGAATGGAATGGAATGGAAAAGACTGGAATGTAATGGAATGGATTGGAATCAACCCGATTCCAATGCAACGGAATAGAATTGAATGGAATGGAATGGAAGGGAATGGAATAGAATGGAAAAGAATGGAATAGAATGGAAAAGAATGGAATGAACTGGAATGCAATGGAATGGAATGGAATGGAATTTAGTTGAACGGAATGGAATAGAATGGAATGGAATGGAATCAACCCAAGTGGAGTGCAATGGAAAGGAATGGAAATGAATGGAATGGAATGGAACGGAACGGAATGGAATGAACACGAGTGTAAGGGAGTGGAATGCAACGGAATAGAATGGAAAGGAACGGGAAAGAATGGAATGGAATGGAATGAAAACGAGTGGATTGGAATGGAGTGGAATTGAATTGAATGGAATGGAATGGAGTGGAATGGAATGGAATGGAATGGAGTGTAATGGAATGGAATGGAATGGAACGGAATCAACCCAAATGGAAAGGAATGGAATGGAATGGAATGGAAAGGAATGGAATGGAAACAACACGAGTGGAATGGAATGGAATGGAAAGGAACGGAATGCAATGGAATGGAATGTTATGGAATCCACTCCAGTGGAATGGTATGGAATGGAATGGAATGGAAAGGAATAAAATGGATTGGAATGGAATGGCATCAACCCGAGTGCAATGGAATGGAAGGGAATGGAATGGAATGGAATGGAATGGAATGGAATGGAATGGAATGGAATCAACCCGAGTGGAACAGAAAGGAATAGAACGGAATGGAATGGAATGGAATGCAATGGAATCAACTGGAATGGAATGGAATGGAATGGAATGGAATGGAATGGATTGGAAAGAATGGAATCAACATGAGTGGAATGGAAAAGAATGGAATGGAATGGAATGGAAAAGAAATGAATGGAATGGAAACAACCCGAGTGTAATAGAATGAAAAGGAATGGAATGGAAAGGAATGGAAAGCAATGGAATTCAAAGGAATGGAATTAACTCGAGTGGAATAGAATGGAATGGAATGGAATGGAATGGAATGGAATGGAATGGAATGGAATGGAATGCAATGGATTGGAATGGAAAGAAATTCAACAGAATGGAATCAACCAGAATGGAATGGAATGGAATGGAATGGAGTGGAATGGTATGGAATGGAATGGAATGGAAAGGAATCAACCCGAAGGGTATGGAATGGAATGGAATGGAATGGAATGGAATGGAATGCAATGGAATGAAATGGAATGGAATGGAATGGAAAGGAACGGAACGGAACAGAACAGAACTGAATGGAATGGAATCAACCCAAGTGGAAAGGAACGGAATGGAATGGAATGGAATGGAATGGAATGGAATAGCATGCAATCAACTTTGGTGGAATGGTATGGAATGGAATGGAATGGAATGGAATAAAAGGGAATGAAATGGAATGGAATCAACCCGACATGAATGGAATGGAATGGAATGGAATGGAATGGAATGGAATGGAATAGCATGCAATCAACTTTGGTGGAATGGTATGGAATGGAATGGAATGGAATGGAATGGAATAAAAGGGAATGAAATGGAATGGAATCAACCCGACATGAATGGAATGGAATGGAATGGAATGGAATGGAATGGAATGGAATGGAATGGAAATGAATAAAACCGAGTGGAATGGAATGGAATGGAAACAATGCAATGCAATGGTATCAACTGGAATGGAAAGAATTGGAATGGAAAGCAATGGAATCACCCTGAGTGGAATGGAATGGAAAGGAATGGAATGGAATGGAAATTAATGGAACGGAAAGGAAACAACACGAGTGGAATGGAATGCAATGGAATGGAATGGAATGGAATTGAATGGAATGGAATGGAATGGAAATGAATAAAACCGAGTGGAATGGAATGGAATGGAATGGAATGGAAACAATGCAATGCAATGGTATCAACAGGAATGGAAAGAATTGGAATGGAAAGGAATGGAATCACCCTGAGTGGAATGGAATGGAAAGGAATGGAATGGAATGGAAACTAATGCAACGGAAAGGAAACAACCCGAGTGGAATGGAATGCAATGGAATGGAATGGAATGGAATGGAATGGAAGGGAATGCAATGGAATGGAATGGAATGGAATGGAATACAACAAAAAGGAAACAACCCGAGTGGAATGGCATGGAATGGAAAGGACTTGAATATAATGGAATGTATTGGAATCAACCCGATTAGCAACTAATGGAAAGGAGTGGAATGGAATGGAATGGAAAGGAATGGAATGGAATGGAATCTACCCGAGTGTAATGGAATGGAATGGAATTTAATGGAATGGAATGGAATGGAATGGAATGGAATGGAATCAACCCGAGTGGAATGGAATGGAATGGAAAGGAATGAATGGAATGGAATGGAATGGAATGGAATGGAATGGAATGGAATGGATAGGAACGGAACGGAATGGGATGGAATGGAATGGAATGGAATGGAATAGACCCCAATGGAATGGAATGGATTGGAATGGAAAGGAACGGAATTAACTGGAGTGGAATGGAATGTAATGGAATGCAGTGGAATGGAATGGAACGGAATGGAATGGAATGGAATCAACCCTAGTGGAAAGGTATGGAATGGAATGGAACGGAATGGAACGGAATGGAATTAACCAGAATGGAATGGAACGGAATGGAGTGGAATCGTACGGATTGGAATGGAATGGAAAGGAATCAACGCGGATGGTATGGAATAGAATGGAATGGAATGGAATGGAATCAACCCGAGTGGAATGCAATTGAATGAAATGGAATGGAATGGAACAGAACGGAACGGAATGGAACGGAATTGAAAGGAATGGACTCAACCAGAGTTGAAAGTAATGGAATGGAATGGAATGGAATGGAATGAAATGGAATAACATGCAATCAACTTTGGTGGAATGGTATGGTATGGAATGGAATGGAATGGAATGGAATGGAATGGAATGGAATGGAATAAAAGATCATGGAATGGAACGGAATCAACCCGAATGGAATGGAACGGAATGGAGTGGAATGGTACGGAATGGAATGGAATGGAAAGGAATCAAATCGAACGGTATGGAATGGAATGGAATGGAATGCAATGGAGTGGAATGGAATGGAATCAACACGAGTGGAATACAATGGAATGAAATGGAATGGAATGGAACGGAATGGAATGGAACGGAATTGAATGGAATGAAATCAACCCGAGTGGAAAGGAATGGAACGGAAAGGAATGGAATGGAATAGAATCAACCCGAGTGGAATGGAATGGAATGGAATGCATGGAATGGAATGGTATGGAATCAACCCTAGTGGAATGGTATGGAATGGAATGGAACGGAATGGAACGGAATGGAATAAACCGGAATGGAATGGAACGGAATGGAGTGGAATGGTATGGAATGGAATGGAATGGAAAGGAATCAACCCGAAGGGTATGGAATAGAATGGAATGGAATGGAATGGAATCAACCCGAGTGGAATGCAATGGAATGAAATGCAATGGAATGGAACGGAACGGAACGGAACGGAATTGAAAGGAATGGAATCAACCCGAGAGGAAAGGAATGGAATGGAATGGAATGGAATGGAATGGAATGGAATGAAATGGAATAACATGCAATCAACTTTGGTGGAATGGTATGGAATGGAATGGAATGGAATGGAATGGAATGGAATGGAATGGAATAAAAGGTCATGGAATGGAACGGAATCAACCCGAATGGAATGGAACGGAATGGAGTGGAATGGTATGGAATGGAATGGAATGGAAAGGAATCAACACGAATGGAAAGCAATGGAATGAAATGGAATGGAATGGATCGGAATAGAACGGAACGAAATTGAAAGGAATGAAATCAACACGAGTGGAATGGAATGGAATGGAATGGAACGGAATGGAAGGGAACGGAACGGAATGGAATGGAATGGAATGGAATGGAATGGAATGGAATGGAATAACATGCAATCAACTTTGATGGAATGGTATGGAAGGGAATGGAATGGAATGGAATGGAATAAAAGGGCATGGAATGGAACGGAATCAACCCGAATGGTATGGAACGGAATGGAATAGAATGGTATGGAATGGAATTGAATGGAAAGGAATCAACCCGAAGGGAATGGAATGGAATGGAATGGAATGGAATCAACCCGAGTGGAATGCAATGGAATGAAATGGAATGGAATGGAATGGAACGGAAAGGAACGGAATTGAATGGAATGGGATCAACCCGAGTGGAAAGGAATGGAGTGGAATGGAATGGAATGGAATGGAATGGAATGGAATGGAATGGAATAGAATGGAATAACATGCAATCAACTTTGATGGAATGGTATGGAATGGAATGGAATGGAATGGAAAGGAATGGAATGGAATGGAATGGAATGGAATGGAATGGAATACAACAAAATGGAAAGAACTCGAGTGGAATTGCATGGAATGGAAAGGACTTGAATATAATGGAATTGATTGGAATCAACCACATTAGAAACTAATGGAATGGAATGGAATGGAATGGAATGGAATGGAATGTACCCGAGTGGAACAGAATGGAATGGAATTTAATGGAATGGAATGGAATGGAATGGAACAGAACGGAATGAAATTCAATGTAATAGATTGAATGCGAGTGGATTTGAATGGAATGGAATGCATTGGTGTGGAATGGAATGGAATCAACACGAATGGAATGGAACGGAACGGAATGGAATGGAATGGAATGGAATGGAAAGGAACGGAATGGAATCAACCGGAGTGGAATGGAATGGAATGGAATGGAATCCACCCGATAGGAATGAAATGGAATGTAATCTAATGGAACGGAGTGGAATCAACTCGAGTGGAATGGAATGGAATGGAACGGAATCGAATCCAATGGATTCAACTGGAATGCAATGAAATGAATTTCAATGGAATGGAATGGAATGGAATGGAATCATCCGAGCGGAATGGAATGAAATGGAATGGAATAGAATTGAATGGAATGGAATCCACCCGATTGAAATGGAATGGAATGGAATGGAATGGATCGGTACGGAATGGAATAGAATGGAATGGAATAGAATGGAATGGAATCAACTCGAGTGGAAAGGAATGGAATAGAAAAGAATGGAATGTAATAGAAAGGAATGGAAGGCAACGGAATGCAATGGCATGGAATGTAGTCAACCAGAGTGGAATGGAATGGAATGGAATGGAATGGAATGGAATCAACTGGAATGGAAGGAAGTGCAATGGAATGGAATGGAATGGAATGCAATGGAATGGAATGGAATCAACCCGAGTGGAATGCAATGGAAGGGAATTGAATGGAATGGAATGGAATGGAATCAACCGAAGTTGAATGGATTCGAATGGAGTGGAATGGAATGGAACAGCACGGAATGCAATGGAATCAACTAGAATGGAATGGAATGCAATGGAATGGAACGGAATCAACCTGAGTGGAATGGAATGGAATGGAATGAATGGAATGGAATTTATTGGAAACTAATGGAATGGAAAGGAAACAAACCGAGTGGAATGAAATGCAATGAATTTCAGTGGAATGGAATGGAATGGAATGGAATGGAATGCAATTCAACGTAATGGAAACAAACCGAGTGGAATGGAATGGAATGGAAAAGACTGGAATGTAATGGAATGGATTGGAATCAACCCGATTCCAACGCAACGGAAGTGAATTGAATGGAATGGAATGGAAGGGAATGGAATGGAATGGAAGGGAATGGAATGGAATTTAATGGAAAGGAATGGAATGAACTGGAATGCAATGGAATGGAATGGAATTGAATTGAATTGAACGGAATGGAATAGAATGGAATGGAATGGAATCAACCCGAGTGGAGTGCAATGGAAAGGAATGGAAATGAATGGAATGGAATGGAACGGAACGGAATGGAATGAACATGAGTGTGAGGGAATGGAATGGAACGGAATAGAATGGAAAGGAACGGGACAGAATGGAATGGAATGGAATGGAATGAACACGAGTGGAATGGAATGGAGTGGAATGGAATGGAATTGCATTGAATGGAATGGAATGCAGTGGAATGGAATGGGATGGAAAGGAATGGAAAGGAATCAACCTGAATGGAATGGAATAGAATGGAATGCAATGGAATGCAATGGAATGGAATGGAATTAACCCGTGTGGAATGGAAAGGTATGGAATGGAATGGAATGGAATAAAATGGATCGGAATGGAATGGAATCAACCCGAGTGAAATGGAATGGAAAGAAATGGAATGGAATCAACAGGAGTGCAATGGAATGGAATGGAATGGAATGGAATGGAATGGAACGGAATGGAATGGAATCAACCAGAGTGGAATGGAGTGGAATGGAATGCAATGGAATGGAAGGCATTGGAATCAACTGGAATGGAACGGAACGGAATGCAATGGAATAGAATGGAATCAATCTGGGTGGAAAGGAATGGAATGGAATGGAGTGGAATGGAATGGAAAGGAGTGTAATGGAATGGAATGGAATGGAATGAAATGAAATGGAATGGAATGGAACGGAATCAACCCGAATGGAATGGAATGGAATGGAATGGAAAGCAATGGAATGGAATCAACACGAGTGGAATGGAATGGAATGGAAAGGAATGGAATGGAATGGAATGGAATGTTATGGAATCCACCCGAGTGGAATGGTATGGAATGGAACCGAATGGAATGGAAAGGAATAAAATGGATTGGAATGGAATGGCATCAACTCGAGTGAAATGGAATGGAATGGAATGGAATGGAATGGAATGGAATGGAATGGATCAACCCGAGTGGAACGGAATGGAATGGAATGGAATGGAATGGAATGGAATCAACCCGAGTGGAATGGAAAGGAATAGAATGGAATGGAATGGAGTGGAATGCTATGGAATCAACTGGAATGGAATGCAATGGAATGGAATGGAATGGAATCAACCCGAGTGGAATGGAAAGGAATAGAATGGAATGGAATGGAGTGGAATGCTATGGAATCAACTGGAATGGAATGCAATGGAATGGAATGGAATGGAAAGAATGGAATAAACATGAGTGGAATGGAGAGGAATGGAATGGAATGGAAAAGAAATGAATGGAATGGAAACAACCCGAGTGTAATAGAATGAAAAGGAATGGAATGGAATGGAATGGAATGGAATGGAAAGCCATGGAATTCAAAGGAATGGAATTAACTCGAGTGGAATAGAATGGAATGGAATGGAATGGAATGGAATGGAATGGAATGGAATGGATTGGAATGGAAAGAAATTCAATGGAATGGAATCAACAAGAAAGGAATGGAATGGAATGGAATGGAGTGGAATGGTATGGAAAGGAATGGAATGGAAAGAAATCAACCCGAAGGGTATGGAATGGAATATGGAATGGAATGGAATGGAATGGAATGGAATGGAATGGAATGGAAACAACCCGAGTGGAATGCAATGGAATGAAATGGAATGGAATGGAATGGAATGGAATGGAATGGAATGGAACGGAACGGAACGGAACGGAATGGAACGGAATTGAATGGAATGGAATCAACCCAAGTGGAAAGGAACGGAATGGAATGGAATGGAATGGAATAGCATGCAATCAACTTTGGTGGAATGGTATGGAATGGAATGGAATGGAATGCAATGGAATGGAATGGAATGGAATAAAAGGGAATGGAATTTAATGGAATCAACCCGAGAGGAATGGAATGGAATGGAATGGAATGCAAAGGAATAGAATGGAAAGGAATCAAACCGAGTTGAATGGAATGGAATGGAATGGAATGGAATGGAATGGAATGGAATGGAAACAATGCAATGCAATGGTATGAACTGGAATGGAAAGAATTGGAATGGAAAGGAAAGGAATCACCCTGAGTGGAATGGAATGGAAAGGAATGGAATGGAATGGAAACTAATGGAACGGAATGGAAACAAACCGAGTGGAATGGAATGCAATGGAATGGAATGGAATGGAATGGAATGGAATGGAATGGAATACAACAAAATGGAAACAACCCGAGTGGAATGGCATGGAATGGAAAGGACTTGAATATAATGGAATGGATTGAAATCAACCCGATTAAAAACTAATGGAATGGAATGGAATGGAATGGAATGG
This sequence comes from Homo sapiens, assembly GCF_000001405.40. Classification (NCBI taxonomy): domain Eukaryota; kingdom Metazoa; phylum Chordata; class Mammalia; order Primates; family Hominidae; genus Homo; species Homo sapiens. The sequence continues at coordinate 49,652,098 of NC_000004.12, forward strand.
AATGGAATGGAATGGAATGGAATCTACACGAGTGGAATGGAATGGAATGAAATTTAATGGAATGGAATGGACTGGAATGGAATCAACCCGAGTGGAATGGAATGGAATGGAAAGGAATGAATGGAATGGAAAGGAATGGAATGGAATTGAATGGAATGGAAAGGAACGGAACGGAATGGAATGGAATGGACCCTAATGGAATGGAATGGAATGGAATGGAATGGAATGGAATGGAATGGAATGGATTGGAATGGAATGGAACGGAATTAACCCGAGTGGAATGGAATGTAATGGAATGGAGTGGGATGGAACGGAATGGAATGGAATGGAATGGAATCAAACCGAGTGGAATGGAATGGAATGGAATGCAATGGAATGGAATGGTATGGAATCAACCCTAGTGGAATGGTATGGAATGGAATGGAACGGAACGGAATGGAATGGAATCAACCCGAAAGGAATGGAACGGAATGAAGTGGAATGGTGATGAATGGAATGGAATGGAAAGGAATCAACCTGAAGAGTATGGAATACAGTGTAATGGAATGGAGTGGAAAGGAATGGAATCAACCCGAGTGGAATGCAATGGAATGAAATGGAAAGGATTGGAACGGAACGGAATGGAACGGAACGGAATTGAAAGGAAAGGAATCAACCCGAGTGGAAAGGAATGGAATGGAATGGAATGGAATGGAATGGAATGGAATAACATGCAATCAACTTTGGTGGAATGGTATGGAATGGAATTGAATGGAATGGAATGGAATAAAAGGTCATGGAATGGAACGGAATCAACCCGAATGGAATGGAACGGAATGGAGTGGAATGGTATGGAATGGAATGGAATGGAAAGGAATCAACTAGAAGGGTATGGAATGGAATGGAATGGAATGCAACGGAATGGAATGGAATGGAATCAACACGAGTGGAGTGCAATGGAATGAAATGGAATGGAATGGAACGGAATGGAACGGAACGGAATTGAATGGAATGAAATCAAACCGAGTGGAAATGAATGGAATGGAATGCAATGGAATGGAATGGAATGGAATGGAATGGAATGGAATGGAATGGAAACATCCCGAGTGGAATGCAATGGAATGGAATTGAATGCAATGGAATGGAATGGAATGGAATAACATGCAATCAACATTGGTGGAATTGTATGGAAGGGAATGGAATGGAATGCAATGGAATGGAATGGAATGGAATAAAAGGGCATGGAATGGAACGGAATCAACGCGATTGGAATGGAACGGAATGGAGTGGAATGGTATGGAATTGAATGGAATGGAAAGGAATCACCCCGAAGGGTATGGAATGGAATGGAATGGAATGGAATGGAATGGAATGGAACGGAACGGAATTGAATGGAATGGAATCAACCCGAGTGGAAAGAATGGAATGGAATGGAATGGAATGGAAATGAATGGAATGGAATAACATGCAATCAAGTTTGAGGGAATGGTATGGAATTGAATGGAATGGAATGGAAAGGAATGGAATGGAATGGAATGGAATGCAATGGAATGGAATGAAATGAAATAGAATGGAATGGAAAGTAATGGAATGGAATGCAACGGAATGAATCCGAATGGAATGGAATGGAATGGAATGGAAAGGAATCAACACGAGTGGAATGGAATGGAATGGAGTGGAGTGGAATGGAATGGAATGCAATGGACTGGAATGGAATGGAATGGAATAAACCCGAATGGAATGGAATAGAATGGAATGGAATGGAATGGAACTGAATGGAATAAACCCGAATGGAATGGTACGGAATGGAATGGAAAGGAATGGAATGGAATGGAAACTAATGGAACGGAATGGAAACAACCCGTGTGGAATGGAATGCAATGGAATGGAATGGAATGGAATGGAATGGAATAGAATGGAATGCAATGGAATGGAATGTAATGGAATGGAATGAAGTGGAATGGAATGGAAAGGAATCAACACGAGTTTAGTGGAATGGAATGGAATTTCATGGAATGGAATGGCATGGAATCAACCGTAGTGGAATGATATGGAATGGAAAGGAATGGAACGGAATGGAATGGAATAAAGTGGAATGGAATGGAATGGAATCAACTCCAGTGAAACGGAATGGAATGAAATGGAAGGGAATTTAATGGAATCAACCGGAGTGGAGTGGAATGGAATGGAGTGGAATGGAATGGAATGGAATGGAATGGAATGGAATGGAATAAAACCAAGTGAAAGGAATGGAATGGAATGGAATGGAATGGAATAGAATTGAATGGAATGCAATAACATGCAATCAATTTAGGTTTAATGGTATGGAATGGAATGGAAGGGGATGGAATGGAATAAAAGGGCCTGGAATGGAACGGAATCAACCCGAATGGAATGGAATGGAATGCAGTGGAATTGTACGGAATGGAATCGAATGGAATGGAATCAACCCGAAGGGTATGGAATGGAATGGAATGCAATGGAATCAACCTGAGTGGAATACAATGGAATGAAATGGAATGGAATGGAATGGAACGGAATGGGACGGAACGGAACGGAATTGAATGGAATGGAATCAACCGAAATGGAAAGGAATGGAATTGAATTTAAAGGAATGGAATGGAATGGAATAGCATGCACTCAACTTTGATGGAATGGTATGGAATGGAATGGAATGGAATGGAATGGAATGGAATGGAATGGAAACAATGCAATGCAATGGTATCAACTGGAATGGAATGCATTGGAATGGAATGGAATGGAATCTCCCTGAGTGGAAAGGAATGGAATGGAATGTAATGGAATGGAATGGAATGGAAAGGAATGGAATGGAATGGAAACTAATGGAACGGAATGGAAACAACCCGTGTGGAATGGAATGCAAAGGAATGCAATGGAATGGAATGGAATGGAATGGAATGGAATTGAATTGAATGGAATGGAATACAACAAAATGGAAAGAACTCGAGTGGAATGGCATGGAATGGAAAGGACTGGAATATAATGGAATGGATTGAAATCAACCCGATTAAAAACTAATGGAATGGAATGGAATGGAATGGAATGGAATGGAATCTAACCGAGTGGAATGGAATGGAATGGAATTTAATGAAATGGAATGGAATAGAATGGTATGGAATCAACCCGAGTGGAATGGTATGTAATGTAATGTAATGGAATGGAATGGAATGGAATAAAATGGAATGGAATGGAATGGCAACAAACCGAATGGAATGGTACGGAATGGAATGGAATGGAATAACCGGAGATGAATGGAATGGAAAGGAGTGGAATGGAATGGAATAGAATGGAATGGAATGGAATGGAATAGAATGAAATGGAAAGGAATGAAATGGAAACAACCCGAGTGGAAAGGAATGGAACGCAATGGAATGGAATGGAATCAACCAGAGTGGAATGGAATGGAATGGAATGGAAAGGAATGGAATGGAATGGAACCGAATATAATGGAATGGAACGGAATCATCCCGAGTGGAATGGACAGGTATGGAATGCAGTGGAATGGAATGGAACAAAACGGAATGAAATTCAATGGAATAGATTGAATGCGAGTGGAATTGAATGGAATGCAATGGATTGGAATGGAATGGAATGGATTTTAGTGGAATGGAATGGAATCAACACGAATTGAATGGAACGGAATGGAATGGAATGGAAAGGAAAGAAATGGAATCAACGCGAGTGGAAAGGAATTGAATGGAATGTATTGGAGTGGAATGGAATGGAATCAACACGAATTGAATGGAACGGAATGGAATGGAATGGAATGGAATGGAATGGAATGGAAAGGAACGAAATGGAATCAACCCGAGTGGAATGGAATGGAACGGAATGGAAGGGAATGGAATCAACCCAAGTGCATTGCAATTGAATGGAAAGCAACGGAAACAACCCGAGAGGAATGGAATGGAAAGGAATTAAATGGAATGGAAAGGAATGGAATGGAATCTACCCGAAAGGAACGGAATGGAATGGAATGGAATTGAATGGAATGGAACAACATGCAATCAAGTTTGGTGGAATGATATGGAATGGAATAGAATGGAATGGAATGGAATGGAATGGACTAAAAGGGCATACAATGGAACGGAATCAACCCTAATGGAATGGAACAGATTGGATTGGAATGGTATGGAATGGAATCGAATGGAAAGGAATGAACACGAAGGTTATGGAATGGAATGGAATGGAATGGAATGGAATGGAATGGAATCAACCCGAGTGGAATGCAATGGAATGAAAAGGAATGGAATGAAATGGAGCGGAAAGGGACGGATCAGAACGGAATTGAATTGAATAGAATCAACCCAACTGGAAAGGAATGGAATTGAATGGAATGTAATGGAATGGGATGGAATAGCATGCACTCAACTTTGGTGGAATGGTATGGAATGGAATGGAATGGAATGGAATTGAATGGAATGGAATGGAAATGAATCAAACCGAGTGGAAAGGAATGTAATGGAATGCAATGGAAACAATGCAATGCAATGCTATCAACTGGAATGGAATGCATTGGAATTAAATGGAATGGAATCACCCTGAGTGGAAAGGAATGGAATGGAATGGAATGGAATGGAATTGAATGGAATGGAACAACATGCAATCAAGTTTGGTGGAATGATATGGAATGGAATAGAATGGAATGGAATGGAACGGAATGGAACGGAACGGAACAGAATGGAATGGAACGGAATGGAATGGAATCTACCCGAGGGGAATGGAATGGAAAGGATTTTAATGGAATGGAATGGAATAGAAAGGTATGGAATCAGCCATAGTGGAATGGTATAGAATGGAATGTAATGGAACAGAATGGAATGGAGTGGAATAAAATGGAATGGAATTCAATGGAAACAACCCGAGTGGAATGCAATGGAATGGAATGGAATAACCGGAGAGGAATGGAATGGAATGGAGTGGAATGGAATGGAATAGAAAGGAATGGAATGGAATGGAATAGAATGAGATGGAAAGGATTGGAATGGAAACACTGCGAGTGGAATGGAATGGAATGGAATGGAATGGAATGGAATGGAATCAACCCCAGTGGAATGGAATGGAATGGAATGGAACGGAACATAATGGAATGGAATGGAATCATCCAGAGTGGAATGGAATGGTATGGAATGCAATGGAATGGAATGGAATACAACGGAATGAAATGCAATGGAATAGATTGAATGCGAGTGGAATTGAATGGAATGGATTGGATTGGAATGGAATGGAATTGATTGGAGTGGAATGGAATGGAATCAACACGAATAGATTGGAAAGGAATGGAATGGAATGGAATGGAAAGGAACGGAATGGAATCAACCCGAGTGGAGTGGAACGGAATGGAATGGAATGCACCCAACTGGAATGAAATGCAATGAAATGCAATGGAATGCAGTGGAATCAACTCGAGTGGAATGGAATGGAATGGAATGGAACCGAATCGAATCCAATGGAATCAACTGGAATGGAATGGAATGGAATGGAATGGAATGGAATGGAATGGAATGAATCCGGGTGGAATGGAATGGAATGTAATGGAGTGGAATGGATTGGATTGGAGTGGAGTGGAATGGAATGGAATGGAATGGAATGGAATGGAATGGAATCAACCCGAATGGAATGGAGAGGAATGGAATGGAAAGGAATTGAATGGAATGGAATGGAACAGAATGGAATGGAATCAACACGAATGGGATGGAAGGGAAGGGAATGGAATGGAATGGAATGGAATGCTATGGAATCAAACGGAGTGTAATGTAAATGAATGGAATGCAATGGAATGGAATGCTACCGACTGGAATCAACCCAAGTGCATTGGAATGGAATGGAATGAAATGGAATCAACAGGAGAGGAATGGAATGGAAAGGAATGGAATGGAATGAAATGGAATCAAGCAGAGTGGAATGGAATGGAATGGAATGGAATGGAATGGAATGGAATGGAACGGAAAACAATGGAATGGAATGGAATCATCCAGAGTGGAATGGAATGGTATGGAATTC